>NT_187595.1:0-169134 GCF_000001405.40 Homo sapiens | reverse complement strand
GAATTCTTGAAACATATCCTGCATGGATAAGGGGGGACTACTGCATGATTACCACAGTCAGATTAATTAACACATTCATCACCAGTCATAGTTACCATTTATGGGTGTGTATATGTATGATGGGAAAGTAAATTTCAAGTATATAATTATGTATTATTAACTATAGTTACCATGCTGTATGTTAGACCTACGTAACTTATTCATTTTATAACTGAAAGTTTGGAATCTTTGATCAATACATCCCCATTTTCCCCACCCACCAGCTCTTGACAACTGGTATTCTGGATATTCGATGTGGGTTTTTTATATACGTACTTTATTGTGTTAAGTTTCTTCTACACTTATTTTGTTGAGAAATTTTATCATGTTTTAGAGTTTTAAAGGATGTTTAATTTTGTTAAATGCTTATTGTATATTTATTGAGATGTTCTTACAATTTGTATCCTTTATTCTGTTAACATGGTATATCATATTGATTTATTTGTGTATATTAAATCTTCCTTGCATCCAGGCACAAATTCTAATGGATAACTATGTATGATTCTTTTCACATGCTGTTGAATTGGGTTTACCAGTATTTTTTTTTAGGATTTTTGTGTGTATTTTTATCAGGGATATTTGTCTACTTTTTTTTTCCTTGAGGTGTCATTAGCTGGCTTTGGTTGAGGGTAATGCTAACCTCTCAGAATGAGCTTGGAAGTGTTTCCTTCTTTTCAATTTTTGGAAAAGTTGATTGGCATTAATTTATTTCAAGGCTTGGTATTAATAGAATTCACTTGTAACACCATGAGGTCTTAGACTTTTCTTTTGGGGAGGTGTTTGATTACTTATGAAATTTCTTTACTCATTACTAATCTCTTAAGACTTTCTACTTCATGATTCATTCTTGATAGGTATTATATTTCTTGGAATTTATCCATTTCTTCTAGGTTGCCTAATTTGTTGGTGTAGGATTGTTCGTAGTATCATCTTTAGAATCCTTTATATTTCTATGGTATTGATAGAAATGTCTCCTCTTTCACTTATTTGAGATCTCTCTGTTTTTCTCTTGGTTAAGTCTAAAGTTTTTTTCTATTTTTATTATCTTTTCAGAAACCCAACTCTTAGTTTTGTTGATCTTTTCTAAAGCTTATCTAGTTTCTACTCCATTTATTTATGCTCTAATCTCCATCATTTCCTTCCTTTTGCTGACTTAGTGCTTAGGATTTATTTTTCTTTTTAGTTTCTGGAGGTGTACATTTAGGTTGTTTATTTGAAATCATTCTATTATTCTAATTTATATTTATTTTTTTGCAACAAATTTCTCTGTTAGAACTACCTTAGCTGCATCCCATAAGTTTTGGTATATTGAAAGAAATTATTTAACACCCTCACTCTTGCTTCTTGCCTGTATTTTTTGATATAGTGAAGGCATTGCACTCTGACAGATTCTAAACTTATCAGGCCAAGTACTTCATCAGCCTATTTTACCTCATCTCCCCAGTATATAACATAATACTTAGCACATGACTTGTGCTTATTAATTTATAAAAATTTGTTAAATGAATGAACATGTGTGATTAAGAATGAGAGAAAAATAAATGAGAAAGCAGAGTGGAAAAGAAGAAAAAAAGGGAAAGGGAAACAATGATAAAGAGAAAAGAAGAAGGCATGAACAAGCCGGCAAAAGAAAAAGATGGAGGGACAGAGAAACAATAGGAAGTAAAAGAGTTTAAAAAAAGAGATTAAATGCTAGCCAGAAGGAATAGGAGAGTGGAGGGGAAAAGAAATTAGTAAGAAAATATAGGCAAAATGAATTATGAGATTAAAGGAAGAGTAACAAAACCAGGAAATCAGTGGCCAATTCAACAACATGAAAGTTACATAAAATGTAAAAGTCAACCATCAGAATAATGCAAATTAAATACCTCCTTTAATTAGTAAGGAAACAAAACCATTAAACTAACTGACAACAAAAACAACAAAAGAGAAATGAAGTATCCTACTCAAATTGACTCAAAGCTAGCTATTGTCAGAATAATGACTTGGGCCAGTTTCAAAATCTTCATACCTAGTGCTCCTGCCTTTAGACGGCGAAAGTTGAGTTCTCAGGAGTCATAGACCACTTCCAGCTTGGAACACTATCCAAAGATTTAACTCTTTACTAGCATCCCCCATTTATTCAGAAATTAATAGTTAGTGCCTACTCTAGCCCAGCATCTGTCTAGACTCTTGAAATACAGGAGTGAACAGAGCATACAAATATCCTTGTCCTCTGGGACCTTATATTATAAAAATATGAACATATAAGAAATGATAAGAGTGACAAATGTGGAAAATAGTACAATATTTTCAATATTGGGAAGTGCTATTAGATTTAGATCCATGTCAAGGGGATTAGAAAGTGCAGTCCTTTCAGTAATCACAGCACTAAGAATAATGAAACGAATATTTAGTAGTGGCTAACTAAATCTTTCTCTAAAAGCTATTGTACAGTACCTTAAATATACAGATGTTGAATCATGTATTGGACTTACAGACAATTCTAATAATCATTCTCTGTACTTCATTATTTTGTGAAACAATTATGTTTTTAAAAGAAAAAAAAAACAGAGACGCCAACAAGAATAATTAAGACAGGAAATAATAAAACTATGGAAAAAATCCTACAATAACTATTGAAAAATTTGACTATAAAAATAAATACTTGAAATTAAGAAACATAGTATGAAAAATTACAGTCAAAACAAAGTGAGAGAGACACCTGCTTCTGACCTATATGAAGTAACAAGGACAAGATTTATTTTTCCATCTGAACTAACCAAAATAAACAGACTATATATACATATATATGTGTGTGTGTATGATTATATTTGTATATGTGTATATGTATATATGCATGTATACATATAAGCACATGTGCATATAGTGTATATATGACACATACACATATAACAATGTCTAATATACACACACTATATATGTACACACATATATATTGTAGAATTGAGATGTATACATATATGTGTGGTTTATATATACACGTGTGTGTATATATATATACATACACATATATGTATATATAGTAATAATCATTAAGACATTGACATCAGGCAACAGTGATCCCTAAGGGATTGAAGAAAAGCTAAATTCTACAATTGCCCCATCTTACTGCTTTTAGAGAGTTTCCAGGATATGGCAGAGGGAAAGGTAACTCAGACATAGTCCAGATGATTTTCTGTGCTAGTCACAGCTTAACGTCTGGGGAAACCAAGGCTGCTGAAGTTTCCAGGACAGAGTACAAGAGAGGCAAATGCTTCACAGAAAGAAAGCCCCAGATATCTGACAAAGGACCCTGTGAGTTTTTAGGTGAGTACTCATCAATGCAAAATATGAGGAACTACCTGAGAAAATTGAAAGAATCATCCGGAATTCACAAGGAACCAGAAATAATGCCAGTTCCCATTACCAGATAGGTTAAACTTCACATTATTGGGGCATTGAATAGGAGCAAGGATGATCTTGCCTCACAAGTGAAGAATAGCCAGCCTTTAACTGAGCAGTGTTCTAGAACTGCCTAAGAAATCATGTAAGCCAGACTCTAAAAGGATGAAATATTTTCCAAGTAACTTAACTTTATTCCAGATTAAAACTGAATAATATTTATAGGAATACAAAAATATCTAGGGTACAACAAGTAAACCTCACAAATCTGACAATACATCAAAGATAATCAACATATAAAGAATAAAAGAGCCTAATCCATAATGAAAATGAGAATCGAATACATAAGACAAACACAAAGATCATACATGCATGGATGTTAAAACTAGAAGAAAAACACATTAACACACTATTATAACTGCATCTCTTATGTTCAAAAATTTAGGAGTGACAGGAAAGATATGAAAAGACCCAAATGGAACTTTCACAGATGAAAATTGCAATGTCCAAGATGAAACAAAATGTACTAGCCGGGTGTACTGGCACGTGCCTGTAATCCCAGCTACTGGGGAGGCTGAGGCAGGAGAATCGCTTGAACCTGGGAGGCGGAGGTTGCAGTGAGCTGAGATCATACCAATGTACTCCAGTCTGACGTAGACAGAGCGAGATTGTGTCTCAAAAAAAAATTAAATTTAAAAAATGGAATAAATAAATAAAATGAAATACAGAGAAAATAAGAAATTTGCAAAAAAAAAAAAAAAATTGAAAAGAGCATCAGTTAGCTGTAAGAAAATTCCAGTTGGTTTAATACATAAAATTAGAGTTTCCACAAAAGGCAGTGTAGATGGTGATGCACACAAAAATATTTAAAATAATGATGTCTTATATTTTTCCAAATTTTATGAAAACTATAAAATCACATATCAAAGAAGATTAACAAGTATAAAACACAAGAACCTTGAAGTAAATAACTGCACTACATCATTAGCAAATTTCTCCACATCAGCTATAAAAATCTTAAATCATTCAAGGAAAATATTAGCTAGTTACAAACAAACAAAAGTAAGAACAAGAGGAGCATTCTTACCAGAAACAATACAATGGAGAAGATCATAGATCAACATCTTCAAAGTACTGAAAGAAAAAACATGTCCAACTAGCATTCTATACTTAGTGAATATCTTTCGAAAATTAAGTCACAATGAAGATATTTTCAGACTCACAAAAGGTAAGATAAAATTATTAACAGTAGACCTGCATTATAAGAAGTGTTAAAGAAAGAACACTAGAAGTTTTCAAGTACATTGTAATTTTAAAAGTTAATTTTCTTATTATATAATCTCTTTGAAACATGGCTGCCTTTCAAACAAGTACAACATATTATGCATGTAAGTGTATTAATACTTAAAATATGACAACAAAAGCAACAAGCTCAGGAGAGAAAAAATGAAAGTATACTATTACAAGATTTTTACACGATATGTGAATTTGTATAATGTCACCTAACAAACTGTAATAAATTTAAAATATATTCTCTAGATCCTAAGCAATCACTAAAATACCAAGAAAAAGGAAAAATGAACCAAATGAAAAATAGATGGTAAGACAATAGACTAAAGCTAACTTTATCTAAAGTTATATTATGTGTAAATGCTTTAGCCACTTAAATTATAAGGCAGAGACTGCCATAACGGATGAAAAGGCAATACCCAACTATACAATGCCTACACAAATTGCATTTTAATATAAATACAAGTTTAAAATTAAATGATTAAGAAAAATACCATGCTATCACTAGTTAAAGGAATCTGTTGAGTCTATATTATCAGTGGAAGTAGGTTTTAGAGAAGAAAAATATAATTAGGGATAAAGAGGGTTAATTTACAACAAAAATTCAGTGAATTCATCAAGAAGGAAAAAGAATCATGAACTTTTATTTACTTAATAAAAAGTTTAAAATATACACGAAGTAAAAACTGACAGAACTGAAAAGAAAAAATCTATTGTTATAGTCAAGAAATACAACACCTCTTCTTAGTAAATAACAGAAAAAGTAGACAGACACAATATAAAAGATTTTAACAATACTTTCTGTCTTCCCAATAGCAGCTAAATGTGCATTGTTTGTAAAGTGCTTATGAAACATTTATCAAGGTATACCGTATTAAAGGACAATAACATATTCCGATAAATTTCAAGGATTTTGAGCTAAACAAAATGTTATCTGACCATAAGAGAATCAAATTAGAAATCAATAACATAAAGAAATCTGGAGAAATCTTGAAATATATGAAAACTAAATAGTACCTATATAAATAATGTGGTCAAAGAATAAGTTAACATGAAAATTAAAAATTATTCACGGGATATCTCAAAAGTAATACTTCGTTGGAAATGTATACCAGTAGATATTCACATAATAACAAAAGAAAGTTCTCAAATAATGGCCTAAGCTTCCACCTTAAGATACTAGATTTTAAAAAGCAAATTAAGCACAAATTGAAAATAAAAATAATAACGACTAAAGCAGAATTCAAATAGAAAATGCAAAAACAATAGAGAAAAATGAAACAAAAAATCTGGCTCCTTGAGATCGATGGTTTATTAACCTGTAGCCTTAACAATTAAAGATTAGAATTAGAATGACATTACATTGATTTACTTTCCCCTAGATAATCAGGTAATCAGTCAGTTTTCCTTGGGAATTTCGAAATATATCTAGTGTCTTCTCATCTACTTGGGAGGGAGAGTTTTAGATGTAAGGCAGGGAAAGGTGGATTTAGTGTCCTCAATATACAGTATGTGGACATTCTCTTCATCCTGCAGATTTAAATTAGTGCTCCCTGTACCACCTGCATTGGTCCTTTGGGTTTGTGAGTCTAGGAACAGTCTTGTTTTGTTTCTCTAGAAACTATATTCCAAGTATTCTATGGGCCAATGCTGCATAACCAAAGGCATTTAAAAGACTTACAAACAATTGGATATTTTCACACACCATATCTCAGCTACGTACTATGATACTTGGTATATTTAATTCCTGAAAAATGGTAAGTTCCTCAAGGTAAATCGCCTTGCTTCTCTTTGTTCTACCTTTCTGCACTCTTGTATGTTTTAAGTTCTCCCAGTCAATAAATTACTTACCATTCCTCTCATTTGATTTATTTCTACACAATTCCAAATGTCTCCAGTTTCATAAAATGTGTGGCATTTGTGATGCATCCCCTAATACTCATTACTTCTTTGCATAGTTTTGATGTGGTTTTCAGGTCCTGACAATGACATTTGTAGAAATTTCTCCAATATTATCAATCACACTGAGTCATGCTCTTTAGTTTCCTTTAATCCAGAAAAGTTTGACAGCCTTTCTTTGTTTGTCTTAATATTTTTCCTTTGAAAAGTGTAAGCCAGTTGTTTCATGGAAACTTAATTTGAGTTTTAAATGTGTCTGCATTATTAAATTCATGTTATTTAGCAGGGACACTACAAAACAGAATTCTTTGTTCTCTGCAGTGCATCACATTCCAAGGTATATGATTACAGTTTCAATATTGCTGATAAATTTTGAGCTCTTGAATGAGGTAATATCTGTGAGTTTTTCCACATTTCATTTTCATCCTTTTTAATAAAAAATAATTTCACTAATACAATTATCCTGTTTGTTATCAAATTTATGAACCAGTAGTTTTAGCATTCATTAGCAAAACTTGCCTGAATTCTTAGAAAAATTGTTGTAACTTTCACTTTTATAATTTTATCATTATTTAATATTTGTTAGTTGGCCTTTTCTATTCATTTATGATAGTTTTATTTAATTTTATTTAATGTATTATAAAGTATGACTTTCATTATTTGTTTAAGTGCTCAAAATTGTTGTAAATTTGCAGTGAATGTTCCCTTAAGTTTCCTTCTGTGTCTTTTTGTCATGATCTCAGAATTATTAGCACATTTCCTTATTTTGCAGGCATAAGAATTTTAAGGCTCATTCAAAACTATCCCTTTACCAGCCCTACAATCAACCATTACTCTAAGGAGCACTAATTTCATTTAGTGACCTTCTGGAAGCCAATATATTGAATTATTGTACTTACTGCTACAGAAATAGCTAAAATTATATGCATATATACATATGAATGTATATGTGCATGTACATCAAGAATGAGTTTATATTGATGCCTCCAAATTTTTAATTTATACTCCAAAGTTATTCTTTGCCTTTTCTTTTTGTCTCTTTCTTCTCACACTGTTAAAACTTCAAATGTTTACTCACTTGTTAGTGTTGCAGTCTGTTTAGTCCCTAGTTCAACTAGGTCTGAGTTCTTGTCCCATGACCAAGAAGAATAAGGCAAGTAGCCACTAGAGAGTGAGTAGAGTAGGGTAGGATTTATTAAGCAAAATGAAAGCTCTCAGCAGAGAGGGGTCCTGAAAGAAGGTTGTCAGAAACAGGACTGCGTTCTGTATCTTTTATGTGGCAGAAGCCAGGAAGTCTTCTTTGGGTTTTGCCCTAACGGGAGAGGTAATGTTCTGTCCTAGGGGTGTTGCATCTGTGCATGCCTGCTGTTGGACAGAGTGACTCCATCTCAGTTATTACCCAGGAGTGCCTAAGTGAAACTCAAGGCAGGGCTAAAACCACAATGCTAATGTCATGTTAATGACATTATAATGAGCTGGGTCAAGTTAAGGACATTTAGGTTAATTTATTGCAACTGCACCCAAGTTGGGACAGTCCCTTCTGAGCAATATCCTGGCATAAGAGGAAGTTCTTCACCACATTTCTTCCTGTTTGATGCAGAGACAGTATAGGTACTGTCCTTTGGTTATTCCAGTGAACATGACCTTCACTATCCTTCTCCTGAGACATTCCCTCTCTATTTGTCTAACCAGCCACTAACTTCTTCCTCACTCACTAGTACTGTAGTATTCACAGTCACATCATTGCTGAACTAATAACACGAACCAACTAATTAGAATTCAATATTGATTTATAGTTGTATTTGTCTTTAGCCAAAGAGTACATAGTCAAAGTATTATATTCAAAACCTACTTGTATTCATATTCTTTTCTTCCATACCATTATTTTATTCAGTTGATATATAGGTAAGTTCATTTGATTGTTTTCAGAATATACATTTTATTCCCTTTAATAAAGACTTAAATGTATACTTTTAATTCAAGACAAAATATTTTTAATGCAAGACGTAATATTAGGATGATCATCACTAAGCATATGTTATAAAATAATCTTTTTCTATAGCTGTATATATTTTATTTTAAAACATTTATAGTTTAGATGACATGAACATAGTGAAATACAACAAAATTTTTTAGTTCAACTTTCTAAGATCAGTTTTCATAGTTCTCTGAAATAGATGAACCATACAAATGATGGCCTCTATAACTTTTGAAACAACTTTTACACATTTGAGTGATTCAGATCCCTATTATCCAGCCAAATTTTTGAAAAATTTCATTTTGAAGAGCGAGGCTTAATTTGAAACTGTGTTGATCTTTGAACTTAGGACACATTTCAGAAAAAGGAGGGTTTCACATGCATAAAATTGATTTTTTGCAATAGCTTTGATGTGTAAATTATATTTAAGTATTTCCTTATAGCTGAATTAGGACAGATGCATGTGATGAATACAACAAAAACAGAAACAGATGGCATACCACATGTATAACATCTTAATACATCTCTTTTTATGTAAGACAATTAGCGTAGCAAGTATACTATATTTAACTGATTTTCTTAGAATTTTCTGTTTCCTCAAAGGAAGGAACAAAATGGTTTTTTGAAATGTACCATAAATATGTATACCTTCACACAGTGTTTTATTGTTATTGTTATTGTGATGTACTAACTTTCCCAGTTAAACACACTCACACACACATACACACACACTACATTTATCAAATTTGTGTGAGAAAATGTAGTTACTGATTGTCTACTAAAGTAAGTGCTGAATAAGGTAAGTTTTATGGGAGAATACATATATTTTTTCAAAAAGAAAAAATATTTATCTCACCATAATTGCAAAAGAAATATATGTGTAAATCCCTTTGTGTTCCTATAATTTATTTTCATTAATGCTTTATGAGTATTAACTTTACTACTTATTCCATGTCAGAACACTTTGTTCCATACATAGAAAGAGCAAATTTAAATGCAGGATGAGTTTAGCTTTGAATATGAAGAAAAAGTTAAAGAGAGAATTAGGGCAATTATATGAAAAATACAAATGCCTAAAATCTTCCCAGGCTATTGAGGATCAAAAAGGATTTGAGCTTGGATTATCCAGATTGATAAAATTGATTAAATAATTCCTCAATTTTCCATTTGAATATCATTGTGTGATTACAGACTTATTAAATTAATGTTCATGACAAGCTTGATAATTTGGGTCACCAAATCCTCTTTTCCTCCATAGACATTTTGACAGTTGCTTCAATTTTCTTTTCATTCTTTCTTGTCCTAAAGTATAAGCATATGGATTATTTTGTAATACAGTCAAATAATATTTTTCTACAAAATATAAAGCATGTGTAACCTTGGGAACACCTAAATTAGTTTCAACTTTTCATCAAGTTTATTGCTGCATTTTTTACTAAGCTACAGTCTCAATATTTAAGCCATTAAGCAACCTTATATTCACAAAATTAACCAGTTTGTGTTTGAAAGTTTCAGCATGTAGATATATTCAGTGGTCTCTTAATTGTAGCGTCTCACTGGTGTAGATGTTGTGATAACATCCTGTTTGTTCTCACTCTATGTATCTATTTGCATACATATCTATGTAATCTCATTACATAGAGATTTTCTGTTAGTATAAATAGATGGATACATATAAATAATATACATGTAAATGAACATATATAAGTATATAAATATCAGTAAACATGAAAGAAAATGTTATTTAGTATAAAGTAGATTTTATAATTGATTTTCCTGAAAGTGTTATGAATTTTTTTCTTATTAGAATAAAAAAATTAGTAGTAAGAGATATACTATTTACATGAATGGCCATACAAAGTGACACTAATCATTACAAAATAATATATTTTTAAGGCAGAATTACATTCAAACAACATAAAACCTGATCTTGAAAACTGATTTTTTCTATTAGTAGACTTACTGCTTGGAAAATATGTTGACTTTTTTGGTCATTTCAGCTAAAGTTTACTAGAAGAATGCAAATTATTGTAAGCATGAGGCAGAAGGCTGATGACCAGATTAAAAACCAATCAAGCTAATAATGAAATAATCTGCCTAATATTTTTTCTTTCAATGAGAGCATTTTTTTCATGTTCACCACACAACGTTAATAGCTTTCCTGCTACAGCAACATTTGCAATTACAGATAAGGTATGCAAACATGTTTGTACTCTAGTAAGGTCTTTAAGCAAAAAATAATGTTGTGCTAATATCATTTTGTTTAAGAATATGGAGCGTCACTAACTTGGTTTTCATTTTAAGGTAAAAAAGTGAGTAATTAGTCATGACAACCTGGTATATGAAACATAATTATAAAGTCTTCCAGCAAGCAAGTCTTTTTCATGTTTGTATAACGCTTTCCTAAATTAAAATATAATGGGGCTTGGAACATAATTAAGATAACACAAGGCAAATATCTCTCTCTCTCTCTCTCTCTCACACATATGTAACAAACCTGCACATTGTGCACATGTACCCTAAAACTTAAAGTATAATAACAATAAAATAAAATTAAATTAAAAAGAAAAAGAAAAAAATACTACTTTGAGATGATTTCTTCATTTAGAAAATCACAGATTATAATTATGTTTATTGAAGCATGATTTATTTAAGACAAAATATTATGTATAACATGCCTTCTGTACTCATGGCAAAGTTGGAGATTAAGCAGCCCAAAGCAGATTTCTCTGAGATATAAAAATTTGAATCATTTATTCAAATGATGTAATCATACAAATTCAAATCATATTACATTTTGTTCTGAGAATGGACTAGTAGCAAGAATTACATGTGGGCTTTAACATATATTACCTAATTAAATTGTGGAATTCAGTCAGAGCCAGGAATGCAAATAAGCATAACAGTAAAGTAAATAATGATACTCATTTACTCATCAAATATTTATTGGGCCCTGCTAGTTGCAAGGCATTGATTTGCATACTATAAGTGTATCATAGTTAGATTCAGAAATAATGAAAACTGAGAAGTCACTGGAAAAGTGAGAGACTTATGAAGTGCTCCAGGAAAACAGAGGAGATAAATATAATTAAGGATTGAATGAACGAGGTCAGCACATCTGCATTAATGTGAGAGAAGGAGATTCTGCTCACTTGAGAATTTTTCTTTTTTCTTGTAGAATAAGAGATATTGGTATATACAAGTGAGGATGATGGAGACAAAAAATGGAAGTTAAGATACAGATGTAAAAAAAAGGCATAAAGTGTATAAAAGAAAATAATGTATGTTTCATGGTTTTTATTATTATTAAGTTTTTTGTTTTGTTTTGTTTTGTTTTTTTTAGTTTTGGACTTTTCCAAAACCCCAAATACCAGCTGGAACTAAAATGGTAAAGGGTGAATAAAATCTTGCATGTAATTTACATATTGCACATATGCCATTTTTGCCATCCAGAATGTATTCACTCTTCTTCTGGTTAGAAAGTACACAGTGAGGACTTCATGGGAATACAGCCTGTGCAGTACAACAAGGCCCCATACTTGTAAGAGTTCCATGCTTGATTTAAGCACGTCTAAAGATCATTAGATTTTCTTTTTAACAAAGGATCCTGTGCTCTCATTTTTCACTGGGCCCTGAAAATTGAGTAACTGTTTCTGATATTATACGTGATTTTCTTGGTGGAGCATAAGGCCTACTCTCCTTTCAGTGGGCCCTGACAGCTTAACGTGTTAGCGTAATTGTATTCTCCTTGAGCTAGAAATTCCTGGGAACACCAGGCTGAATCATGGCATGAAAATTAGGCCTAAGCTGATTGATTGACTTTTTAAAAACTATTTAGTATTCTGAGCTTTCTCTTCTCCATTGAATGAGAAGTAAGGGGCTGTGAGATCTGCAACTAATGCAGTTGTCTTGAGGTCACCATAAAAAAAAAAAAAGAAGCCTGTCTGAGATGGAAGTCAGCATACAGACAAGAAAAGAGTGGAGCCATAGCTTGTACGGGTTCCTGATGCATAAGGAAAAAAAAAAAAAAAAAAGAATGTCCTGCACCTGAAGCCTGACAAACTGCTAAACATTTTCAATTGAGACAATGAATTCTCTTTTAGCTTCAGTCAGGTTTAATGACATTAATCTGACCCTTAGAATAGAAAGAATCCCTATCAAAATACATTCAACAGAAGTCTGAAGGGAAAACATTTCATTTGTATTTTATTTTTAACAAAATATCTTACAGAGAATTAGGTAAGTGGCCACTCAAATTGCAACTCAAATGAAAAACCTTTATTCCAGTGATGAAAATACAATAGAAAAAGAACTGCTGTGGCTGAAGAAGGGCTGTGTCCCATCCACCACACTCTGCATCTTCTTGAGTGGTCTGAGAAAATGCACCTTGGGCATGCAACTCCATAAAGCACAGTTTCAATAGTTCTTATGTATCCATTCATTTTGTATCAAATCAGTCTACTCACATTTTCTCTCTTTCTTTATCTAGATTTAGTAGCATAGTTTATCTTACATTCTGAAAGAAATTAAGATATTGCTTTTTCAATTGTTTCATCATCTGTGTATTTCTCCCTTACAAATTGCATTTATTATATCCTTGTGAGGTTGACAGTGATTTATTAAGAGACTAGGTATAAGTATAGATCTTTACCAGTCTAGGCACCCATTTAATAACTGTCTACACAGGACAATATAACATATTTGTTGGTTAATGCCATGAAGATGTAAAAGATAAAAGTTCCACTACAATGGAGGAATAATATCCATCGATTTTTTTCACAGAGGATGTCTGTCGTTCTTAAAACTCAGCTTTTTATTACTTCCAAGTCATGCTAGTATTTATCTTATTCTGTTTACATTTGTATTGATATGACCAGTGTAGCTAGGAAAATGTGAACACATGTAAGAATGTAACTTTAGGCTGTGAAACTGGAAGCAGAAATTCTGTGATGCAAGAGTCACATTTTTTCAAATGTATTCCCATGTGTCATTAAGTCTTAAGATGCCATCGATTGTAAGACAGACCATTATTATAGGTAATACTAAGAAATTTTTAAATGCAGCTTATTAAAAGTGAATCACTTGAAAGACACCTTAAATATAAAAACTATACACAACAAAGTTAAGGGAATATCATAAATAATGGAAAATTGTTTTCAAATAAATGTTAATATTTCTACCAGAAATGCATCAGAGGACCAGGTTCTATTTGTCCATCCCAATAGTAGAGGTTGTCTCACTTTAATTTTGGCCAATCTTTTCAGTGTATAATTGTGTTTCTTTGTAGCTATATTTACATTTTTCTTCTTACTGATGAATTAAAGCATACCTTCACATGTGTATTAGTCATTCATGTTTCCTCTTCTGTGGGTTATACATTTTCTTTAACACACTTTTATTGACATAGTTGTTCCCTTACTGTTTTGTCAGAATTGTTAATGTATGTGAATTATGTTTTAGTTATGCATGTTGTAATTATTGTTGCCCAGTTTGGGGCTGAACTTTCAGCCTCTCTTTAAGGATGTAAGTTCTTCATATTAACAAAGTCAAATCTATTCATCTTTTCTTTGTGGTTTCACTTTTGGATCCTATTTAAAAAATACTTTCCTATCCCAAGGGCATAAAATATTATCTTACATTGAAAAATGTTCTTTTTTTCTCTTTTTTTCCACTGTAAATAAATACAAAATTATATATCAAACTGTATTATTTTATAGCTTCACAGTTAATCTTGATATCTGTAGGGCACGTTTCCTCATGTTGATCATTTTCAGAAACATGCATTGTCCCTTCTTGGCTCTGGGTACTTCCCTACATATTTCAAATTCCATAGCATGTTTAGAATCTTCACCAAATTTCCTTAAAAATTAATACATTTTATATTTCTCTCCAGAAATAACTATTCATTGTTTATAAAACTCATTTCTACATGCCTTCAATATTTTTGGGTGTGCATCGATTGTAAATTCTATTTAAGTAACAATTTTGCATGTAATTTTAAAAATAAGCTGCTTTATTGCTTCTATGTAGTAAATCAATGAATTTATGTAGTTATGTCTATTCAATATGCTGACCTTTTCTATTAATTTTAATAATTTATAGATTCTTTCATTTCTGTATGTGGAAAACCTTATTTCACAAGAAGATGTATGGAAGAATTATTACATTTTAAATATTTAAAAACTATCAAAAACCCAGTTTCAAGTACTTATCTCAAATGGATAATGGGCTAATATACCCCACCTATTCCTGTGATTTGTATACCATTCCTCTCATTGCACAAGAATCTGGGAAGTTTACGATTCCCAGGAAAGTGAAGAAGGATATTAAGCCCCTGGCCAATTTTAAGCAACACCTTATTTTCCCTAACCCACGTGGACCCTTGAAGTCTCCTATTTATGCTATTAGTTGGTGCGAAAGAAATTGTGGTTTTTGCCATTTAAAAGTAATGGCGAAAGCCACAATAATTTTTGCACCAACCTAATACATACAGAGGTTGAGACATTGCCAAGCCCCAAAAGTTCTGGCACTAGAGCTCTGCCTCCATAGAGATATCACACAGTCTTTCCCTGTGGGCAATTGTTCCCTTTCCATACACTGCAGGGAATGCTGTGAATGCTTCCAGCATTCTTGGACAATTTCCAAGTCTGTTGGAATCTACAGTCTCTTACCTTTGTTGTCCTTGAAGGCACTATATTTTTCTATCCTTCATGGTAGCCCCACTTCTGCCCATTATCCTAGCATAATCTTTTTGATGAAGTTCAGTTTTATGGACAAATGCAAAAGCTGCTGATTTCAAGTATGTTTTCCCCTAGAGAGAGGATATTAAGTGGGAGAAGGATCTGAGATAATATTTATTACTTTAAAATTAGATGCTTTGGCAGCACATCATTTCGTATCTTAATCTGTATCATCAAATGTGTGATAGGATTTGTTGACGGAGCTGCTGGCATACTGAGACAGGAGTTAGCCACAGAGGGGAGCAGATCTAGTCTCAAGTTCACAGGTACACAGACATCTCTACCAGTGTCTTATTGCTGCTATAGCAAATTCCCACAAACTTGGCGGTTTAAAATGTATTACCTTACATTTCTAGAGGTCAGAAGTCAAAAATCAGTCTCACTGAGCTAAAGTAAAGGTGTGAGCAGAGCTAGTTCCTTCTGGGGGCTCTTAAGGGATAATTGGTTCTCTTGCTTTTTCAGGCTCTAGAAGTTGTCTGCATTCTCTGACTTATCACTTCTTCTAGTGTCACATCAACCTCCCGTCTTTGTTGTCACATCTTTGACAGCTAACTCTGACCTCCTCCTATAAAGACGCCTGTGATTACATCAGAACCGTTGAAACAATCCAGAAAAATCTCTTCATCAAGATCTTTAAATAACCCCATCTCCAAGTTCCCTTTTTTGCATAAGCTAATTTTCACTTGTTTCTGGAATTAGGCCAGAGACATTTTTGGAAGGTCATTATTTAGCTTACCACATCTGACTATTAAATATCACTATTTTCATGCCCCTTGGAAATTTGAATTAGACCAATTTAAGTACTTAATTTTAATATTCTTATGGCTCCTCCTTGCATATATCTAAGTTAATGGGAGCAACTTGCTCAATAAATGCCTAATAATCATTCTATATATTTCTTTTATCCTCACATCCACTTAGATTCTAAATTGCTTCTTATTTTCCTCCTAATTACCAAATTCACCTATTATTTTAATTCTCCCTGAGTTTTATTCCTAATGTTTTCTTCTCTTACATATTAACCATAATAGTTGTAGCAGTCTTCCTGCCATCACACTTACCCTTTTTCAGTTACTCAATACTACAGCCATCAGAGTAATTTTTATAAAACATAATCTGATAAATCGCCTCTGTTCCCAACAGAAAATCTAAAAATCTGAAGTTGGACCATGCAAGAGTTTTCTGTTTTCTGTAGGGTAAAACCTGCAATAGATGGGCAAGGCCCTGCCTAGACTGCATAGGCTGTAATCATATTTACTAGAGTGATGGTGTGATTAAATTTTGGGTTCCGTACGGGACTGGATTCTCCACAACACAGAAAGCATGCCTCCTTTGCTCACTATTGAATTTCCAGGAGCTGGCACAGTACGTGACAAATACATGCTCAATTGGTTGGATACAATATTGAGGCCTTTCAGAATCTAGTCTTTGTCTTTTAAGTTTTCCTTTCCAATTTACACACATATACACACACAAACCCCAAAATCATGTACAGTACTGAATTAATTGTTCTTCTGCAACTAGTTTGTCATATTCTTGTGCATCTGCTGTCCAGACAATTCTACAATGTTTGCCTGTAGCTTTTTATCTTTCTAAATGAATGGAAAATTGTAGTTGAACCTACAGACATTTAATTAAATGTTAGTCCACTCTGTGTGTATGTAGGTCTATAATACTTAAGAAGGCATGGCCGAGAGGACAAAATATCTGAAAGTCATCTAAATTAAAATGGAATCACTTGCAGGAAAAAAAAAAATTAAAAAAACAAATCTGACAGAGAGAGCCAGGGAAGCCCATGAAGAGATGGTTCTCATGCATGTATCTGATAACAAGACTATTGCAAAAAGACCCTGCAAAAACTACAACGTTGAACAAATGTCATTACAGCTGATACAGTTTGGGTTTGTGTTCCCACCCAAATCTCATCTTTAATTGTAATCCCCAGGTGTCAAGGCAGGGACTTGGTGGGAGGTAATTGGATCATGGGGCCTCTGCTGTTCTCAAGATAGTGAGGGAGTTCTCATGTGATCTGGTTGCTTGACACATGTCTGGCATTTTCCCCAGCACTCTCTCTCTCTAGGGATTAGTGATCCTTGTAGCCAAGTGTAATTATCTCAGAACAACGATGCAATCCTTCTCATTTATTTCTTTAAAAGTCTTTGTCTTCCTTTACCTTCCTGAATTTACACATAGTTTACTATGGCATGTGTATTCCCATTGTAATGCCCTATTCCAGAATAAATGCCATTTCCTTTTACAGAGCCTCTCTCTGTCTTTTAGGTTGACAAATAGTTTGCAGAAAATTAAGATTTGGGCTTTTGTACTTGTATTAGATTTCCATGCTGCCATAAAAATTCACAAATGTAGTAGCTTAAAATAACACAAGTTTATTATCTCATTTTTCTGCAGTCCAGAAGTCTAGGATGACTCAAATGATGTCTTTGCTTTATATTTCACAAAGCCAGGATCTAAGTGGCTTTGTGAAGCCACTGAAGGCTCTGAAGATATTCTGTCCCTAGTCTCCTTCAGTTTGTTGACTAGATTCAATTATTTGCAGCTACAGGACTGAAGTTCCTGCCTCCAGTTGGGACTGGTCCTTGTTCACAGAGGCTACCTTTCTCTTTTTCTCAAGCTCTCTACATGGTCCACTGTACCAGCAACAGTGCTTTCCCTTCCATATTATGTCTCCTGACTCTTCTTCAGTTAAATTATGAACTGACTCTTCCATTTTTCTTTTCTTCTTTTTTAAAATAAAATTTAATGTTTAAATTGGCAAATAATTGTACATATTCATGGGGTACATTGTAATGTTTTCATGTCTATAATGTATAGTGATCAGATCAGGGTAATGAGCATATCCATCATCTCAAACATTTATCTTTTTTTGTGTGTGTTGGGAATATTCAATATTCTTCTTGCTATTTGAATCTATATAATGCATTATTGTTAACTGTTTTTAAAGGCACTTGTGAGTACAGCGAGTCCATTCAGATAATATGCAATAAACTTCCTAATTTATTGTAAGCTGATTAATATCCTCATTCATTCATCTTCAAAGCCACTTCACAAGAGTGCCTAGACTAGTGTTTAATTGAATAAAAAAATAACAATTAGTGATTGATTGAAAACAATCTGTAAGGAGGGAGGGAGGAAAACTAGAATTCTGTTTTCCCTGGTACTGGCAAGGAAGGAAGAATTTCTAACCTTAGGAATAACAGAATGGCATTAAGAGGTCTTCGAAGCATTTAGGATACTGTCTATAAAAGTGAGGCAGGGACTAGAGTCTATACAAAAAAAAAATGAGAGTTTTTTAGATATTGGAAAATTTACATTTTCCTTCTATGTTTCTTATATTTTAAATTGGTTTATTTTTGTTTCTCTTTTTTATCTCCTCTTGGAAATTAATAGGAAACTGGTTTAAATTAAAATTGTCTTTGTGTTATATTTATGAACTGATAAAATTCAGAAAAGTTGAAGACACAGCATCCTAGTACGCTGCAGGCTTGAGCAAAAAAGGAAGCCAGGTGGGAGAAGTATGTGTTGGGAGCTAGTGAGGAGGGAAAACAGATTGTGTGCCTGAGGCCTGCAGGAACAAAGTGAAAGATTAACTGGAAGACTGGTCATGGAAAATTATTCAAGAATAGCAATAATACTTTGTTTTTTAAGATTTAATTACCTCAAGCCAAAAACTTAAGGTTTTTATATTGGTTCCTTAGTATATGTCTGTCTTCTGGTTTGTTTCTTCCCTAAGTCTACGGTACAGATGATCCACAGAAATGGGTAGTCTGATTTTTGTAAAGATTAACAGGTTAGGATAGCAATATAAAGAGTAATATTCTTTTAAAAGTACATTCTGAAATTTGGTATTCTTACGTGGAGTGTATAAAAGCACACTTTATTTTCTTTTTACATTACTTTGACATTTCTAAATTTTCACAATTAATATTTATTATAACAAACATTCAGTGATAAAACAATATCTAAATAACTGCAAAAAGGCATTCATTATTTTTGCATTACTAATAGCATCAATTATTATTTTTTCTCTTTCTCCTTCTTTTATACTTTTTTTATTCAACATAAAGTATAACTGAAGTGTCTGAAATTTGCCACATGCTTCAAAATAAAATTGAATAAAGTAATCCTAGAAAAGATCAGTCTGTTGTAAAAAGATGGGCAAAAAAAAATCATATTCAATGAGTATAGGAAATGTTACAAATGGGAAAGCTTCTAAAAGTCAGCATAAATAGATATGGAGTGTTTTAGAATGTGAACTAGCCACCCAGTTGTTGGATTGGCTTGTGGAGAAGGTTCATTTTATAGATCACTTCTTGAAAGGTGATGTAATCTATGTATATTGAGGTTGAATTTTGACACATTCTATTTGGGAATATCCATTCTGGTATCATACACTTTGTTCCTGTAATAATAACTGATTAGGAACATCCCATTGTTCAAAGATAGCTAGTTTTGGTATTTAGTTAATTTTTGTTCTCCTGATGGGGTTGGAAAAAAAAAAAAGCTTAAATTAGCCTTACTGTCATACTTCTCATCTCTATTAGACCCATACTTCATTTGTCCAAAAAAATCCTGTAAATAAATGCATTATAATTGCTATGCAAACATGGATTCACGTAAGAGGAGTCATTGTCACTACCTACCATGACACACCAGCATGCAGAGTCAAAACTAAAATAATGTTTTCATGCATACGACTTTCCTGGTCCTCTTGCCCCTTACAATCATATTCCAACTCCATACCCTTCCATTAGAGAAATTCCAGAGTAGCTGCTACCATTATATGGAAGACTGAATAATATTCCCAGGCATAGGTGAAGTGTCCTTAAATTTATATTTGAGACACCACAGTTTGATGTTATGCTGATATGCAACATGTTAAACTGTTAACTTCCACATACATTATTTTACCTTTTATTAAACAGGTGTGAGGGGGAAATGCAGTAAAATGCTACAAAAAATAATATGTAAATACTTTTATTTACATATTATTGTAATATGTAATTACAATAATGCTTTTACAAAAATCAAAAATCAAAAACTAGTTATGGCCCAGTGGCAATGAATAAACATGATACAGCTTTGGTAATTTCCCAACTACTTATAAGGCACAAAATAGTTTAGCAACACATATCAGAATATGATATATGTATGTATGTATGTGTGCATGTATTTATTTCTGCTTGTAGTAATTTCTATACTCATGGTATTTTTTAATCATTTCTTTGGGTTATCTCTAGTTTCATATGACAAAAGTATTTCCTAACATCATTAATTCTGTGCAAAAGTTTGAAATTACTCCTTCAAATTGTATATCATAAAATAACAGCTAAAACATAAAAATAACTACAGTTTAACAAAAAATGAAGATTATAGAAAATATTTACATAGTATTTTGCAAGAACAATGTGATAAATATATACTATCATAAAATATATTGACTATTTTACCTTCCTTTTTCATGCACGATAAAATTTGCTTCATCAGTCATACAATGTCAAAGACTATCTTGGGAAGTTTCTCACTTGGAGCAAAAATTATAAAATATAATGATAAGTTTCAACCTTTAACTGATTTTGAAACATGCATTTCTTTTCAAAATTATAAAATTTGACCAATTGTTTATAGTAAGACTCTTGAATAAGGTAGTTCCAAGTGATGTTTCTTTATAAATACTAAAGTCAAACCCTTTATAATTCATGATGCAAATTCTATAATTTAAATGACATAGTCACTATGTCAAATAAATGTTCTCCCATAAATTGAAGGGATTTTATCATTAAAATACAGAATAAAAATATACTTCATGATAAACTTAACTCAAACCATCATCAATTCATATGAAATAAGTGTGGTTATTTTCTTAGGAAGATATACATAAAGAAGTAAATTTGTGATATACTTTTGAGTTTAATGACAGTAGGAAGAAAAAGTGGTGTTTTTTTTCTTTGAACTAGCTCACACCTGTTTATTCAGATGCCTAATTTTAAATATAGTACATATTCAGAGTTGCAGAATTGTTGCTTAGACTATCAGATTCTATGACTAAAAAATACCAATTGAGCTAATCTGGAACAACTTAAATGATATTTTTTTCTTTTATTATCAAATATAGAAAAGAAGTATTACAGAAAACGGATATTTAGATTGTAAAAGATAAATTCAAGAACCTAAACCTCAAACAGAATTTTTGCAAAATGTGGAGTGACGTGAAAAAAAATTACATAAATCATCTTCTTTTTCTATGTATGAGCCTGTGATGTAAGGCATTTTACACTTGTAAGGAGGGCAGAGTGGCCCTAGTCTATGTGTTTCTGTAGGTTCCTGAGACAATATGCACTGCCTTTCTATACTGGACTATTATAACATCAACAATTATAATATTTTGGGAGGGGTGGGAAGAAAGTTCCACGTCTCACTCGACTCTTACATACTCCCATGAGCAGATGCTAGATATTATTAGGACTATTTATAAACACTTGGAGCAACACTGTCTATTCCAGAAGTCTAGAAATAACTGAAAGACTCATGAATTTTACAGCAAGATAGAAGCCATGTCACACTTTTCCTGCTAATAACTTTAATATTATGAAATATTGGAGAGCTTGGAGGACACCAGATGAAAAATATTTTGAGAAAATCAATTATTATAAGTAACATTGCTAAAATTTTCAGCACTTTTGTTTCTCTGAACCAGAAGGTGGAATTCAGGCTGGCCTCACATGCCAGCAAGAACTCTAGGCTCAGTAGAAGATCTCAAGTCTTTCTGACTCTCTAGAGCAGAATCCTTTTTCGCTGCATGGATGGAATCTAAGGGTACAGCTCTAGAGTGCTGCCTTCCACAACAGATGTTAAGCAGGCAAGGTTCCATAAATATTTTAAGATTTTATTGTGTATGTGAAGACACATACTTTTATTTTTAATTTAAATCAGAAGTATGAAAATGAATGTATGCTATTTGTCCACTAGGGAAACAAAACAAAGCAGTCTAAAAATTTCAGGTAGGAGAGGATGTAATACAAGGTGCTTACAAAATAGATGGGAAGACTGAAAAACAGGCTCTATTTTGTCTCCAAGAATATTACAGAAGTGATTCAACAGTGGGCAATACTACAACTCAATCCAATTACATTAGGGTAAACCAGAAGCAAAAAAGAAAAAAAATTATAGCTTTTGACATGGCTACCTCTCACACCCAGAAGAAAAAAATGGAGAGTGGGAGACTGTCCAGGAATGGCTCATATTTCCATACTCCTGCTTGGCAGCACCCTGCCTGCTAGCAGTCAAGTACTGTAGTATAATAATCTGTGACTCGTTTTTGCTTCTGTCACAGGATCTTTCGAGTGTCATTTCACCAGCCAGAAACCTCTGTGCCCAGTGGCGCCTTTACCTGAGATTTGTTTGGACCCGCTGGGCTCCTTCTGCACACTAGGCCCGGCAGACACCCTACCCGCCAAGATCCCATGCCTGATAAGGGTAAGCCATGCATGGAGCAAGAGTGTAGGGATGCCCGGGTACAGAGCTGCGGCTGGGTGGCTGCAGCCACACCTGGGAGGGGAGGGCTCCCACCCCACCAACGCATAAGGGAGCGGGGTTCCTGCCTCTTCCAGGCTCCTGGCGGCTCCATTGCATGCGTAGCCCCCCGGCCATGCCTTCCTCGCTGCAGCGGGCACCTTAACAGTGGCCACTCCAGACAGGTGGCCTCTGACATCACTTCCAAGTCTCAAAAATGTACATGAAATGTTTTAAGTGAAGTTTCTGGATTCAGGAGAGTTTGGGCTATAGTGGCCTCTAATCTTCCAGCATGTAGTAGTCTCTAATCTTCCAGCATTCTCAATTAAATAAGATAGAATGTGAACTTGGATGCAGTCCATCCAGAAAAGCCCCCACATAGATTATATTCCTTAGTAATCATTAATGTACACAAAGAAAATCAGAAATTTGAAGAAAAAAATGGTGAAATGTTTCTTTTAGCAATGAAAATTTATGTCCCCTAAAGTTAAAAGAAAACTCTATATTAAATTATTTATATGTTCACAATATTTCAAAATCATATCATCAGGTGTTAACAACATCCTAATATAATGTATTACAGATCTGTGGAGATTATTTCAATTTTTAAAAATATTTAATTTTTATTTATTTCTAGATGTCTGCATTATTAAATACAGTTCACTATAAATAATTAAATCATTTATGATTTGGTGTTTGTTACTAAATTATCTGAGCCTCATTGTACTCTTCTATGAAACACAGATGATAAAAATTGAATGTTCAGCTTAAACAAAATGGTGCATTACATGACTTGTGTATCATAAATGTTCAAATATTATTAGCTATAATAGTAAAATGATCATGACTGTGATTGATTATGTAGAAATTATACGGAAGACTCCCTCTGGAATGCTGCCAGAGTTTTTGCATGAAAAAAAGTGTTTTCTTGTTATTTTTGTGTATAAACAATATATTGACTTGCTGAAAGTGTACTAATTACAATTTTTTTCTGTAACTCTAAATATACTACTGGCATCACAGAGTTTTTTTATTTGTTTGAATGCATGTAGACTTTTCTTAATGCTGGAAATTCAAAAATGACAGTAGGCTATGTGTATTTGTTAGATTTCTTTCTTTTTTGGAAAAAAAACACTTTAAGACAACTTCAAGCAACTCAAACAATGGATTGTTGCTACAACACTTGTTAGCTTTTCACAATCTAGTTATTGCAAAGTCATATGGAGAAATGTTAATGGACAAAGTAAAAAACGAGGCACCTTAATGAATGTAAAATTTGAAATAAAAAGACATTCAATTCACTGACTTCTAAAAGAGGCTAAATATACCTCTATATATTATATTCTAAAATTGTATTGCCTACTATTGTGTCCTGGAGTCTACAATTAATTTTAAGGAAATGCATAAACAAAACTGTGAGCAACCTGCAAAGGGAAAATAATTTTCTTAACTTCATTTCATGGAAAAGACAATGAAAAATCTAGTATGGTATATACAATTTGCAGTGCAGTGGGCAGTATAGTCCTCACAGCTCAAAGATAACAGATTTATGTCTTTAATGTGGTAAAGTGAGAGAGAAACATTCCCCACCCCACCACCTTTCAAAACAACTCTGTCTTGTGTTTGTTACTATTCTTTTCTTCTTTATGTGATTAATTCCACCTGCTCTATTTGCACCTTTGTATATTCTTATTTTAAATCTTTATTTAAATCCCTATTTCACTGTATTTATTATCTAATCATTTTTATATTTTCCTTATAATTTATATCTCTTTTTTCTTTGTGTTTTGTGATATTTTAAATGCATTTTTTTCTTTTGAAATTGTTTTCCGTTTGTAGGAAACTTACAAGCATTATACAGAGTTTCTCCATAGCATGCATCAACTTTTCTATCTTAAGATTTGATACTACTATGATACATTTGAAATAACTAATAAATTAATATTGATGCATTATTATCAGCTAATGTCCGTATGTTATACAGATATCCTTAGTTTTTAACTTAGTATCTTTTTCTCTGTTTTAAGACCCATTCCAGGATAAAACACTACCTTTAATAATTGTATCTACTTAGTATCCTTTTGATTGTGACAATTTCTCGGGCTTTCCTAGTTTTGGAAGACTTTGACAGTTTTAAGGAGTACTAGTCAGATATTTTGTAGACAACCTCTCAGTTGAGGTTTTACTGATGTCCTTCTAGACTGGAAGGACTCCAGTCCTGCTAGACTGGAGTTGAAGGCTTTCAGGAGGAAGAAATATACAGAGCTAAAGAACCTTTCTCATTACATTACTGTCAAGGCTACATACTATCAATGCGATTTATGACTATTGATGTTGACTAAGATAGTATTCATCAGGATCTTTACTGTGGAGTTATTCATTTTCCACGCTTTCCAAACTATATTATTGTGGAGAAACTCGCCATGTGCACCATACACATAAGGAATGAAGAGTTATGTTCCACCTTCTTAATGTAGAGATAGCTACATAAATTTTTTCAAATACTTCTGATTGGGTGTTTTCTCTAGTCTCCCTTATTTACTAACTTATTCAATAACTTCCACCAGAATGGAGCCATAGATATTTCTTTTATATGTAATTCAATATTTATTCATTATGTTGCTCAAATTCTTCCAGCTTTGTCCCTTGGGAGGTTTCTTAATTGGATCCTGTGTCCCTGTGAAGTGTCTCCACCATGGTGCTTTTTGAGCACATCCTTACCCTCTGGCACATAGACTACTCCAGGCTCACCTTATATATTCCCTAGCCAATTCATGGGTCTGCTTTTTGTCAAGGATCCCTGCGTTTTTTAATTGGGTGATAGTTTTTTAAAAACAAGATCGGCTTATTGCTATTGAGGTGTCACTGCTTCTCAGCAGACCTTCTCAGCAAACATAGCTTGAAAGTGTGTGTGTGTGTTTAACATGGTATCACATGGTTTATTCTAGCCTCCTTGACTCTGTCTGTAACCTTTCATTCCAACAGTGAGACATCTAGCTCCCAGGAGTCAGCTTCTGCCATTCACTTACTTACTTGTTCAGTTTCAGTATTCAATTATAGTGGCTTCAGCGTTGTTAGCTTAATCTCATGAATAACAACATTGCCAAACAAACTCTGCTTGTTTACTGATCCTTTTGTGTTTAGTCTGATAATATCCACTCTTTTTCAAAATAATATAGGCAAAAACATTTTCCCTATCCCTTCCATGAAATTGTCTCACATATTATAATTACATTCTTCTGTGACAGTCGGAATTCCATCCTAGGATCCCCCAACTTCATAATTTATTCCTTAACATTTTTTCATACATTAAAGTTCACCTTGTTTTTCATATTATTCTGTGGGCTTTGACAAATGTATAGTGTCATATATCCACTATTATAGTGCCATACAGAATAGATTCACAGATCAAAAATATACTTTCTGTTTCACCTATTCAGATAGTTACAGCTATCTAGAGTGGTGCTTTGGGGAAAATTCAAATCCACTTTGAACTTTTCAGTGGTCATTAAGCTGATGGTTTGCACATTCTCCTGTTTGTCATGCTACCTGTTGGTTTTCAAAGCTCCCACAGACCTGGGGTAGTGTAAAAGGAATAATGTAAGTTAAAATGCCAAGAACCTTGTGTTTTACATTCAGTAAATGCTCCTCAGATTTTTGTAAGCCTTTTATCATTTAAAGAGTTTGAAAAAAGTTTATTTTGACTATTTTTTTCAGTGTTCTTATCACATAAATGGAGGATCAATTTTTTTAAGATGCTTACCACACTGTCCAAGGAGTGATTCCCTTCCAGCTCTCTTTAGATAGAAACTTAAGTTGTTTCCCATGATTTATAATAAATAATGAAACATTGAATAGCATAATATTTTTACACAATCATGAGCGTGCCAGTAAATAAGTTATGTGAGATGGAATATTGGCTCAAAACAATTGAATATTGTTCTACCATAACTAGGAATGAACTACTGACACATACTGCAACTTGATGATGTCCTAAGTGAAAAAAGCCTAATTCAAATGTACACACTATATGATTCCATTCATATAAAATGGCCTTCATTGACAAATATAGAATGACATAATAGAGATTTGTAGTTTCCAGAGGCTAGGATTATGTGGGAGTGGAGAGTGACTGCTAATGAGTATAGTGTTTATTTGGGGTTGACGAAAATGTTCTAGAATTAGAAAGAGGTAATGGTTGCATAAATCAGTGAATATATTAAAAACTACTGAATTATACCTTTTAAAATAGTAATATGTAAACTTTAATTAGAATAAGTACTTTATGATTCATTCCTACTATAACTAGTATGAATCTATAATAAGAAAAGGTAGATTGTTATAGACTTATGCATTGCTACACAAACCTGAAAAATTTCATAAGTTATATTGAGTTTCAAAACTTATGTTAATGACCTAATAGTAGCCACAAAACATTCCCCAAATTGTTTTAAACATAAGTGGTTTTAAGTGTTTGTGTACAGACTCATGTAAATAAAGAGAAAACAAACTGGAACATTGCAAAGAACTTTCATTCAACTTAAAATTTGTCAACTTCCAAACTCAAGCTTTTCTCAGGCTGAAAATCTAATGGGGAAGAAATCCACGATCAGTTTTCTGCTTTTATTCAGTGTATACCCAAGTGCTGTGATTCTTTATATTCTTCAGGATAGTAGTGAGCAAAAGAAAACCAGGTAAAGATCGATAGAGCTTGATTGGTTTTATTGTGAACTAAAGTTAATTTGGCCATGTCAGTGGGGTTGGGCTCAGTGGGAACAGAGGTAGATTGTAACACAATAAGGGCTCAGGACCCAATGAAGGCTGCGTTGCGTGTTCAGGGCTTCTAAAGCCACCTCTGACCAACTGGAACACGCAGAGTGTAATGATTTCAGATTTATTTGTATCAACCAAATCCTGCACAACTTAATTTTTAGACAAATTTAATTGGGAAATATACAAAAACTCTTATTCTGAAACTGTGATTCCCAACACTCATTTGACTCTCAATAGAAAAAATATTTCTCCTTTGTTTTGAATCTAAATCTGTAGTTTGCCAATCTTTTTTCCTCATTTTTATTCCTCTAAGGATCTTTTGTTGATTTCTTTTTATTAATTCACTCCCTCCATAAAATTTCCATTCCACAGCTATACAATATATCTATGTACCATGGCCCTTTGGAGGGTCATAAACTGTTGTAATATCTACCCCTTCTGACCAAGTACACCTTTTTCGGAAAATATAATTTCTATTGAGGAATCCACTACATATATTGCATTCCGTCTTTCTGTTTCACTGTTCTTGAATGAGTAAAAATTAATAGGAGCTCTTAATTATCTATTAACAAGCAGATGGATACTTCTTTTGTTCTACTTCTGCCCAATAAGTTGCCATTCTCTATACACTAGGAATAAATGGATATTTGTGCTATCATTTCAGAGATCAAGTTGTTTTCAAAGACAAGACAAGTACATTGAAACAAATTCAATACTAGTAGGGCCACTTCACTGTGTACCAATTTCTTGAATATTTGGTAATCCTGCTTCTCCAATGACCAGTTTAATGTATTGTCTTTTCAACTGAATCATCCTTAAGCTTTGGGGCCTACATTAGTTTTTTTGCGTTATTCAGTGAACGATATGCATGTGATATGTTAAACCATTCTTAGTATATTTGTTGCTTGGAACTTAAGGCTCTCTAGCAGAGCTGATGTTGAAATCAAATAATCGACAAATATAAAATAAATTTTAATTATATTTTCTATGAAATATATTTTTGCTAAGATTCTAGTCCTCATTCTTTCCAAACTATCAGTTTATAGCTACTTTTTTCAGGATATTCCCTTCTGAATTTCCAGAAATATATGCCAGTCCCACAGGAATGGATCTGTGGTTCAACCCATGATACCATCATTTTATCTTATCTATTTGTGTTTTGAATAAGATAAATTTCTTTTCATTCCAGGCATTTTGGTGATTTTTTTTCCTATAGTTCTGTATTGTAATGAAGGATTTTTCTTCTTATTATGAATCCACAGTCATTTAATTTTGGGAAGATTATAAGGGAGTTACGCCACAGACCTCTGTTAATGTGCCGTAAAAGTACTAATCCTTAAAAACGTGTCCCATCTTACCTTCCTACATTATTGTATTATATATCTTAACACTTAATGTCAGTAGCAGTACTTGTTTTCTTCAGAATATTATTATTTAAATAAACATGAAATGGAAAGGACACAGGGATGATTAAAAAAAACCATTTTAGGAGTTTTCAGTTGGCATTTAAGAAGCTTGGAAATCAACACTCCATCCTAATAATAAAAAATGTGGCAAACTAAAAAATCAACAACTCTTCTTAAATCAGTAAGCAAAGTGACATAATAGGCAAACAGCTGCCACCAGAATTTGAGAGAACATCAGGCAAATACAAAGAATCAGATCTTACTGGAGCAGAAACCCATAGGCAGCAACCTCCACAGGAACCAGTCCTGAGATAGGAAAACTTAACTTGTAATTGCTAAATTGCTGAAGATCCAGCGTAGCAAAACCTGCAAGATGAAAACTCCAGGGGGACACAAGTCAATGGGGGATGAGGAAAAAGGAGGCCACACTTAAGTGAATTTTACTACTACCAGGTACTCTACCAGGTCCTCACAGTGAACATCAGAGAAAAATCTACTTATGCTTTGGCAGAGGCAGAGAAAATTAACTTTTAAAAACTACTTCAGAGGATTCTGTTCTTAACAAGGTCTGCTCTCAGGAGAAGCTATTTAACCATAGTCTAACCTGCTGGGGTTCTAACAGAGCTTAACTTACTTGTGGGAAGGGAAATATCCCACTCAAAATAACTGTGATTATCCTGTGTCACCCAAGGGTGTTAAAAAATAAACAAAAATACTACAAAGAAACACAAATGAAGTTCACAATTCAGAGCCACAGGCTCACTAAGGACTGAGACTTAATCATGAAACCATGGAATGCTTCCCTTCAAGCTAGATTTTACCACCATATTCATAAAAACGTATTTATACTAATCCCTTTTACGCAGTACATCATTTCCAGCTGTCAATAAAATATTGCAACACATAGTAAAAGACAAGTAATAATAACTTGAAGAGATAGAGCAACTGTCAAAAAACAGTCGCAGATTTGGCAGGGATGTTGGGATTCTCAGACTGGGAATTTAATACAACTGTGATTAAGTTAAGGTCTCTAACTGATAAAGTGGACAGCCTACGTGAACACATGGACAATGTAAACAGATAGATGGAAATTTGAGTCAATGCTTAAATACATACTAGAGGTTAAAAACACAGTAATAGAAGTGAAGAATGCCTTTGATGGGCGCTTATCAGCAGACTGGATACAGCTGAGGAAAGACTCTCTGCCCTGAGGATATCAGTATAAATCTCCAAGATGGAAGAACAAATAGAAACATAATGAAGAAAGAAAGAAAGAACACCAGCATATCTAAGAACTATAGGACGACTACAAAAGATGTGCCACATGTATATAGACAGATGATCTGCTACTTACAATTGTTCGAGTGGTGATTTTTCTTACTACAAAGATGGAAATACGATACACATTCAGTGGAATTCTTGCTTTGAGTACCCATACACCCACTCTGTTTTTACTTTCAGCACAATAGTCAATATGTTACATGAGATACTCAACACTTTATTATAAAATATGCCTTGTATTAGATGATTTTTGACTACCTCTAGACTAATGTAAGTGTTCTGAGCATGTATATTTTAAGCTAAGCCATAATGTTTTGTGGGCTATGTGTATTAAATACCTTTCAGTTACAATATTTTCAACTTAAGATTGGATTATTGGGATATAACTTTATTAAAAACCAAGGAGCACCTGTATTTAGAATGCCAAAAGGAGAAGGAAAATGAAAAAAAAAAACAGGTGAAATATTTGAAGCAATAAAATTACTGAGAATTTTCCAAAATTAATGCCAGATATCAAATGATAGATCCAGTGAGCTCCAAGAACACCATGCTAGATAAATGCCAGAAAACTACAAATAAACATATCAATTTGATATTACAAAAAATGAAAGATGAAGCAAAAATCCTGAAAGAAGCTACAGGAGAAAAAAATACCTATAGAGAAGTAACGATAAAAATTAAACACAAAAACATTACAAGAAAGATAACAGTGAAGTGGAATGTTTAAAGTATTGAGAAACAGAGAACAACAACAACAGCAACAACAACAAGAGAAATCCACCAATCTAGATTTCAGTACTTTATGAAATTATTCTTCAAAACTGAAGGAGAAATAAAGACTTTCTAAGACAAACAAAAATTGAAAGTATTTGTTTCAGACATGTAATCCCAGCACTTTGGGAGGCCGAGGCAGGCAGATCATGAGGTCAAGAGATCGAGACCAATCCTGGCCAACATGGTGAAACCTCGTCTCTACTAAAAATACAAAAATTAGCTGGGCATGGTGGTGTGCGCCTGTGGTCCCAGCTACTTGGGAGGCTAAGACAGGAAAATCGCTTGAACCCAGGAGGTGGAGGTTGCAGGGGGCCGAGATCATGCCACTGCATTCCAGCCTGGCAATAAAGAGAGACTCCCGTCTCAAAAAAAAGAAAAAAAATGAATGAAAGTATTTGTTACCAGTTGATCTGTCTTGCATGCAGTGTTAAAAGAAAGTACTTAGAGAGAAGGAAAAAAAAATGTGTCCAAAATTCAGATCAACATTTATAAAAGAGCACCTGAAAAGGAATGATTAAATATAAAATAAAAGTTTTTGTTTTCCTTATTCTTAATTGGTCTAACAGATAGTTTTCTAAAAAAATAGAAGCAATGAATGTGTTTCATTATGTATCCATATATACACATATATATGCTCAGTGTTCTCAATGCATTCAAATATATATGCGTATATAGTTTAATCTTATGCAGCATCAGTCTGAACAACACAGGTCAATTTATATGCATATTTTCTTCCACTTCTGCCACCTGTAAAACAGTAAGAACAATCTCTTCTCTTCCTCTTCTCCCTAAGCCTCGTCAGTGTGAAAACAATAAGGATGAAGACCTTTATGATAATCCACTTCCATTTAATGAATAGTAAATATATTTTATCATCCTTATACATTTTTAAATAACATTTCCTTTGGTCTACCTTAATTTGTTGTAAGAATACAACATATAATACATAAAACACACAAAAATACATGTTAATTCATGGTTTTTGTTTTTGGCAAGGATTCCAATCAACAGTAGACAATTTGTAGTTAAATTTTAACAGTCAAAAGTTATTTACAAATATTCTACTGTATGGAGGGTCAGTGTCACTCAAACCCTATTGTTCATGAATCAACTTTATGTACCTACATACATGTTTTAAAATGTATAACATTATATATATGTATATACCTGAAGTTCTCTGAGCTTCCTGGATTTTTTTTCAGCAATGGCATTAATTATCTGCGTGTGTGTGTGTGTGTGTGTGTGTCTGAGTGTGTTTGTGCTTTTGTATCAGTGAAATAAAAATATCAACAATGATACAGGTGACAGAAGAGAGAAATTATAAACATTTGGTTATTTTGTTACTTTGTTATTTGTAGTATTACTGGCAGTACATGTGAAGTGATATAGTGTTATCTGAGAGTGCATTGAATTATTTATAGATGTATATTAAAAATTCTAGGGCAACCACTAAAAAATTGAGTAAGAAATGAAGACAATTAATATATTAAAAAAGAAGAGAAAATGGAATGTTATAAAATGGTCACTTTAAACCACAAAAGGCAGACAAAGAGTGGAAGACCAAAAAGGAACAAAGAACAATAAAAACAAATGGAAAACAGTAAAAAAAATTGTTAGATATTATTCCACCTATATCTTTAAATATCAATGGTCTAAATGCACTACTTAAAAAATAGATATTTTTAAGACTGGATCAAAAAAAAGCAGATTCAACTAACTCTATGTTGTCTACAGGAAACACTTCAAAGATAAAGACACCAATAGGTTAAAGATAAATTAATGAAGAAATATATACCGTGCTAACACTAAGCAAAAGAAAGTGAGATTAGTAATATTAACTTCAGACAGAGTAATTTCAAAGCAAGGAATGTTATCAGACATAAAGAAGGTCAAAATAATGATAAAGGAGTCAGTTCTTCCTGAACACATAACAATCCTTAAGGTGTATTGTCTAACAATAGACCATCAAAATATATTACGCAAAAAGTGATTAGAACTGCCAGAAAAAATAGATGAATCCAATATTATAATTGGAGACTTTAATATCTTTCTATCTTTGAACAGATCCAGCAGGAAATAAGTCTGTAAAAATATACTTCAAAACAACAACATAATTAAATAGATATAATCGACATATATAAATATTTTAGGCAACAACAGCATAACATACATCCTTCTCAAGCTCACATGGAACATTTACCAAGATAAACCATATTTCAGGCCTTTAAAAAACCTTAATAAAATTTTTAAAAATAGAAATCTTACAATTTTTGCCCTCAGTTCACAATGCAATTGAACTAGAAATTAAAACAGAAAAATAGCTGGAAAATCACAAAATACATACAGATTAAACAAAGTACTTCTAAACAACACATAAGTCAAGGCTGAAATCTCAAGAGAATTTGAAAATATTAATAATTTGACCTAAATAGCAATAAAAACACAACTTATCAAAAATTTGTAGGATGAAGTGAAAGCAGTGCTTAGAGGGTAATTTTATACTGAAAGCGTATGTTAGAAGAGAGTAAAGATCTGACATGAATGATCTCTCCTTCCTTCTTCAGAAATGAGAAAAAGAAGACCAAATTAAATTTAATGTGAGTAGAAGAAAAAATTACAAAAATTAGAGCAGGAATTAATAAAATTAAAAACAGAAAATCAATAGGAAGATCAACAAAAACAAAAGTTGGATCTTTGAAAAAGTCAGTAAAATTGATGCATCTCTAGAAGGAAAAAAAAGAGAGGACACAAATTACTCAATCGGAAATAAAAAGAGGACGTTACTAAAGATCCCATGGACATTAAAGTAATAATAATAGAATACAGTGAACTCTATTACTGCAAATCTGGTAACCTTGATGAAATGAAGACTGTCAAAACTCATTTAAGAATAAATAGACAATATGAATAGACCTGTATCTATAAAATAAATGGAATCAATAATTAATAACTTTACAAAACATAAAGCACCAGATGTAGAGGAGTTTACTGATGAATTCTACCAAGAATTTAAGATATATCTATATCAATATCTATATCTATATATATCTATATATCTCTATCTCTATCTATCTATCTATCTATCTATCATCTATCTATCTATCATCTATCTATCTATCTTTAAATAGATATCTTGGATTTTCCATACAGAGGACTAAGTTATTTGTGAACAGACAGTTATATTTCTTCCTTACTATCATACATATATAGATATAGATATAGATATATATGCATGCCATTATCTACAATCTCTATCAAAAGATAGATTCAGAGGGAATACTTTCTAAGTCATTTGATGCAACTAGCATTACTATAATACCAAAACCAGAAAAAGGTATTACAAGAAAATTACAGAATAATATTTCTCATGAGTACAGATGCAAAAATCACCAACAAAATATTAGCAAATTAAATCCATCAATGCACAAAAATAATTATATATTTTGATTAAGTGAAATTTATTTCAGGTATGCAAGCCTGGTTCAATATTTAAAAATCAACTAATGTAATCTATCAAATCAGTAATAAAATAACATTGTAGAAAATAACATGATCTTATCAATAGATGCAAAAAAAGCACTTGGCAAAACCCAACAGCCATTCATGATAAAAAGTCTCAGTAAACTAGAAATAGAGGGAAGCTTCCTCAACTTGGTAAAGAATACCTACAAAATAAATTACAGCTCAGCTAGCATCACACTTAATGGTAAGAAACTATTAGCTTTCTCATTAATATTAGGAAAGAAACAAAAATGTTCCATCTAACCACTCCTTTTCAACATTGTGTTGGAAGTACTAGTCAATGCAGTAAGATAGAAAAAGAACATAGAATGTATACAGATTGGTAAGGAAGAAATAAAACCCCCTCTGTTCACAGATGACACCGTATCTATGTGCAAAATCCAAATAAATCAACAACAACAAAAATCCTCTTGGAACTACTTGGCAAACATACAAGGTTGCAGTATATAAGGTTAATATAAAAACCTTAATTTCTTTCCTATATGCCACCAATGAACAAGTAGAATTTTAAATTCAAAACATAATACTATTTCAATTAGCACCCCAAGTATGAAATACTTGTAAGTCCACCAAACAAAACATGTATAATATCTACAGGAGAAAAGCTACAAAAGTCAGATGAAAGAAGTCAAAAAGAACTAAATAAATATAGTTATTTTAAGTTTATGGATAGGAAGACTTAATATTGTCTATATGTAAGTCCTTCAAAATTTGATCTATAGATTAAAATTGATCTCAATAAATTTACAAGTAATTTAGTGGATATTGACAGACTGATTCTAAAATATATGTGTAGAAGCAAAAGGCCCAAAATACTAGACACAATATTGAGAAGAAAAACAAGGTAGGAAGATTGACACTACTCAAATTCAAAACTTAAAATAGGCCGGGCGCAGTGGCTCAAGCCTGTAATCCCAGCACTTTGGGAGGCTGAAGCGGGTGGATCACTAGGTCAGGAGATCAAGACCATCCTGGCTAACACGGTGAAACCCCCTCTCTACTAAATATACAAAAAATTAGCCTGGCGTGGTGGCGGGCGCCTGTACTCCCAGCTACTTGGGAGGCTGAGCCAGGAAAATGGTGTGAACCTGGGAGGCGGAGCTTGCAGTGAGCCGAGATGGCACCATGGCACTCCAGCCTGGGCAACCGAGCGAGACTCCGTCTCAAAAAAACAAAAAACACAAACAAAAACAAAAACAAAAAACAAAACAAAACAAAAAAACTTAAAGCAATAGTAATCAATACAATGTGATACTGATGACAAAAAAAACAGACAGATAGATCCAATGGAATAGAACAGAGAACCCAGAAATACACCCACATAGATAATGTTAACCAATCTTAGACTAAGGAACAAAGGCAATACAATGGATCAAAGTATTTTCAAAAAAAGATACTAAAACAAATAAACATTTACATGCAAAAACATGAATATAAACACAGATATTACACATCTCATACAAATTATCTCAAAATGGGTCATTGCTATAAATATAAATCACAAAATTAGTAAATTCCTAGAAGATAACATAGGAAAAAACCTAGATGATTTCCAGTATAGTTATGAGTTTTTAGATATAACAACAAAGGTACAATCCATCATAAAATTAATTAATAAGCTGGACTTTATTAAAATTAAAAACTTCTGCTCTGTGTAGTTAATGCAAAGCAATGAGAAGACAAGCCACATGTCCAAAAATAACATCTGCTAGAGGACTTACCAAAAATATACAAAGAACTCTTAAGACTCAACAATAAGAAAATAATCCATTTAAAATGTGAGCTAAAGAACTTAACAGACATCTCACCAAATATTTGCAGATAAAAAACATACTTACAAAAAGGTGTTCCCCATCATCTGTAATAAGGAAAATGAAAATTAAAACAATAATAAAATACAAGTATATACCTATAAGAATGGCCAAAATTCAGAACAGTGACACCACCACAATTCAGAAGGGTGAGAATGTAGTGCAACAGAAACTCTCATTCATTGCTGGTACAAATCCACAATGGTGCAACCATTCTGGAAGACAGTTTGAGAGTTTCTTATAAAACTAAACATATTCTTCTATTGTGACCCAGCAATCATACTTCTTGGAATTTACCCAAAGGAAATGAAAGCTTATGTCCACACAAAGACGTTCACATGGATGTTTATAGCAGCCTTACTCATAATTGCCAAAACTTGGCAGCAACCAAGTTTCCCTTCAGTAGGTGAATAGATAAATAAACTGTGGTACATCCAACCAATGGGATATTGTTTAATGCTAAAATGAAGTGATCTGTCAACCATGAAAAGACATGGAGTGTTCTTAAATAAATACTTCTAAGCTTAAAAAAATGTCTGAAAAGGCTACACCCTGTATATTCCAAATATATGCCATAGTGGAAAAGGCAAAACTATGGAGAGGGTGAGAAGATCAGTGGTTACCAGGGAGAAGAGGTAAGGGACAAATGAACAGGCAGAGCACAGAGGATATTTAGGACAGTGAAACTATTATGCATGACACTATAATGGTGAATACACATCATTACTAATTGGCCAAAACCGAGAGAATGCACAACACACAACCTCAAGAGTGAATCATAACATAAACTACAGACTTATTATGATGAGTCAATTATAATGATGAGTCAATTTAGGTTTATCAATTGTAATAAAACATACCACACCACTGAGGACTGTTGATAATGAGGGATGCTATGTATCTGTGGTGGCAGGGGGTACACAGACAATTGCATACCTATGCTCAATTTTACTGAGAACCTAAAACTGATCTAAGAGATAAAGTCTGTTAAAAGGAAACATTTTAGTAAGCAAATCACATACTCATAGATTATTAGTGTCAAAAGAAATTTAAAATTTCTCAAATTCTCAAACTATTTTAATAAAATATATACTTGTCAGATAATATTGTACGTGATTAGCAAATTTGAACAATTAAGTATTTTAAAATAAGCTGAGTATCACAAAATCTAACCATAGTGTGAAATAATCTGCTTATAATAAGACTGCTATGTATTGGATACAGCTAAATAAAGATGGTCACAAATTCTTCGGTCCTCATCACATTGAGAGGTAGATTTTATGCCCCTCCCCTGGATGTGGGCTAGTCTGAGATTGCTTTGAACAACAAAGCGTGCCACCAACCATATTATACCAATTTTATGTCAAGAATTAAGTGGATGTATTCCTTCTTACTTCATCTTGAATCAGCCCTGAGCCACAGAGTAAGATTTACAACTATTCTGAGGCCACCATACTGTGAGGAAGTCCAACCACTCACGTGAATTGGTCTTACAAGGAAGAGAACGAAAATGAAAGCCTCAGATAGTCTCCAATTATTCTAGATGGATTTAACAATCAAATTGTTAAGGCCATTTGGTTTATGCCGACTGAGACGCAAGACAGTATGGCAGAGAGAGAGAGGTAAAAACTAATGTACCTCGCTAATCCACAGTCATGGATATGCTAACAATAGATTATTGTTTTAAGTCCTTCACTTTGAAGCGTTTTATCACACAAGAGCAGATATGTGAAATAGTTACCAGATATAAGAATAAAAAATTAGTAAAGGTTATTTTTTGTGCCTAATAACTTTATAATATACAAGTAGAGATAGATATCAATCATTTGAATTAAATATTAAAAATTAGAATTAACAATTTATACTTATTTTAAAAAACTAATTTTAATATGTGTAAATTCAAATGAGATTATCTACAGTAGATATCTACAATAGATTAATAATAGCATAAAATGAGATTATCCACAATAGTTATTAAAAACAACTGGTTTTCTTCACTACAGAAGAAGTTCAATAGTTTGTACTATTTACAGAGAAAAAAACACTTATCATTCATTTTGTTAGTGTGAATTAAAAGTCTGCTATGTGTCATTCTCATTTTTAGACACTACATATAAGAGCAATGAATAGAAATGACAGCAGCCCTGTTATTATGGGAGTGAAAATAAACAATACACAAGTACATAAATGCACTAATACAACTTCGGAAAGGGATGTTTAAAGAGAACCGAGAGTGAACGCAGGAGCTACATTAAAGAGCGAAAATTTGGAGTCTGAGACCATCCTGGCCAACATGGTGAAACCCCATATCTACTAAAAATATAAAAAAATTACCCAGGCATGGTGATGCACACCTATAGTCCCAGCTACTTGGGAGACTGAGGCACGAGAATCACTTGAGCCCAGGAGGTAGAGGTTTTAGTGAGCCGACATCTGGCCACTGCACTCCAGCCTGGGCAACAGAGTGAGACTCCTTAAAAAAAAAAAAGAATGATAAAAATAGATCTATAGCTATCTCATGAATCCATCATATATGACTTGAGATTAAAAGGAAGAAAAGAAGCCATTCATATGGGAAGTCAGAGCAAACCCATCTATGCAGACTATAAAATCTTTAGGACAAGAAAACACATTTGAGAAGAACGAAGCCAGTGTAACTGGGGAATAACAAAATGAGATAGAATGGGTTGAAATAGAGCCAAGGGCCCAGAGTAGGCACAGCTTACTGGTGGCAGTGAAGAGCAATGGGAAAGTCGCTAACTGTGTTAAGATAGAAGTAATCCACATTAAGTGGATGAATTGGAGGAGAGGAGAAAGAGGAGGCTGTGAGACAACTTAGGAGACCATAATAGTTCAGACTAGAGATAATAATGATGTAGAATATGGTAACAGAAAAAATGAAGATAAATGAATGCATTTGAGATATGATTTGGGACCACTAATATCAATATTTGTTGACATGCAAGCTACAGGACATGAAAAATTAAACAGTATTACTGGACTGTGACACCTGGCCAATGCTAAAAACTTTAACTAGGATGGAGAAGACTAGTAACAGATATGAGTGGTAGAGATAGCAATCAAATGTTTTATTTGAACTTCGAAATTTTTAAGCAAAAGCTAAATGGAGATGTCAATATCAATAATATACTGGGAGAACGCCCACAACTAAATTCTGAACACTCCAACACTAGGAATATGGGGAGATCCATTAGAAAAGAGAGCACAAAAACAAAATTAGAAGGATCATCTAACAACTGAAAAGTAAAATCAGGAACTGTTTCCAAAAAGAATAGAGAATCAACTATGTGGAAAGCAACCAGGTAGATCAACAAGACAATCAGAGAAAATCTCTTGGATATTGACAAAATGGTTATTGGTGATGAGCATGGAAAGAAAAAAGTCAATAGCATGGTGAAAACTGGAAGTATATATGGAATAAATTAAACATCTTAAATCACAGTCATATCTTAATATTTGCGGGGGTGGGGGTGGGGATTAGTTTCAGGGCACCTTTCTACCAAGAACTATGGATACTCAAGTTCTTTACAGAAATTGCTGTGGTATTTGCATCTAGCTTATGTGCATCCTCTCATGTACTTTAAATCATCTTTAGAATACTTATAATATTTAATACAATGTAAATCCTACATAAATATTTGTTATACAGTACTTTTTTATTTGTATTTTTAAATTTTTTTCAAATACTTTTCATCTATGGTTGGCTGAATTCGCATATGCAAAACCTGAGGTTACAGAGAGCCAACTATATAATTTTTCAATAGAAAATATCATCAGATTAACTATAATAAGTGTAATCATGGAACACAAATCAGCCCAGGAACATCCATTCTATGTTAAATTAGACAGAGAGCAATCCTTGAAATTTAATACCAACCATAGATAATCAAATAAAAACTTCTGAAATATTTGAGGGTTTTTGAGTCCTATGCTTTTCTCAAGTAGTTCTAAAGATTTCCCCACAAATATTCAATCAGTTTTCCCAGATTCACCTACATACTTAAAAGATAAATTGCTAATATGAATAATGTATGACTATGTAAATTTACAATGACAAATGAACACAATAAATTCCTCTTGTAAAACAGGAACAAGTCAGCCTTCTTCTACCTCAAATCTCAAGACATATTGTAAAAATCATATAGCAATTTTTTTGTGTTATTTCTCCTACAAAAAAATCCTGTAATTCGCAGAACTGACATTGTTTAACTTCCCATCCACCTTGTTATCTTTTATTATTTTTTACACAGTTTTAGACCTCAGATTCAGACACTCAATCATAGGCAGTATACGGCATGTTAACACTGGTCTGCACAAACTCCTAACATTTCATTTATCCACATTTACTCTACTTTATTCCTGTTCACTGCTTCCATTTTTCTATTGCACCCTAAGAAATTATCTTAACATATTTGATGGAAATCTTTTTACTTGTGTGCATTATTGTAAAAAAAGTGTAAATTCTATGGTTATATATTTTAATTTATGAAATAAAATGGCGACGTGATATAGATTGTATTCTATTTTTCGAAGCATGATTTTAAGATTTTCTCCTGTCATTCAATGGTACATCTGCAATGATGCTGCAGATTCCCATAATATTCAGGAGTGTACATCTACTAAATGCTATTTTTTCATTCTACTTTTGGTGAATTACTTCATTGCCTCTGCAATCACACATTTAACAAATAAAGCTATGGTTAACATTTTAGTAAATGTTTCTTTAGACACTTTAAGAATTCATCTGGGATATTTACCTAGGAGAAGATTGCTGGGATGTAAAACAAATATATTTAATTTAACTTATCACTACCATTCTGATCTCCAGAATGTATTCATCAGAACATACACATTCCAGCAACCAATGAAAATTCTGAATCTTATTTTCTCATAAAAATTATATTAACAATTTTTAACATTTTGCCATTCTGATGTGCATTAATGGTTCTACAATTTATACTCAGCACCTGTTTTTTTTCCTGAAAATGAGTAAAATGAGTATTCAAACTATGTTCAGAAAAAGAATTCATTATAAAAACTAATAGTAACAAATTGAAAGCCACATATTCTATTGAAAAAATATAGCAATTAGAATTTAAAAACTATTCCATTTAATTATTTTGAGTATTTACATGTCAGACATCTTCCTTTTTAGAAATATTACTTTAATTGACAAATAACAATTGTATATATTTGTGGGTTACTGTTTGGTGTTGTGATGTATGTATACAATGTGGACTGATTAAATTAAGCTAATTAACATATCCATCACTTCACCAATCATTTTTTTTTTGTAGTGAGACATTTGAAATTAACTCTCATCAAGTTTGAAATAGATAATATATTCGTATTAACTGTAGTCATTTTGTTGTGCAATTGATCTCGAAAACAGCAGTGAACAAAAAGCAAAACAAAACAAAACCCAGTTGTGAGCTTTATATGAAACAAAAAACATGTATATAGTTCATGTGTCTCCGGGTCTTCTGTATATACTTAGATTTTGTCTAGACTCACTCGTGTCTGCATTTGGCTGTAAATCAGGCAAGCAACTTTATTAAATTTGTTTTTATATATTTTTCACAGATTTTGGGTTTCCCTGGGTGTAGGCTAGTCTAGTATGTCCTTGGCTGGGGTTAATGGGTTCAACTCCAAATGATCTCTTATTTTCCATAAGGCCAAGTCAGTTTCTTCTCATGGAGAAGGCAGGTGCCCAAGAAAGATAATAGTGGTGAGAAAGGCATCTTGAGTTGTAGGCTAAACAGCATTACACCATTACTTCAGATATATTCCATTAGGCTAAAAGAGATCACAAGACCAATCTAGATGCAAGAGGTTAAGAAATGAGTTCTGCCTTAAAGAGAGAAACTGAAAAGTCACATTGCAAAGCACAGATATACAGGGTTGATTACTTTTGAATACAGAACCCACACACAATGTGGTTTTGGTAACACTTCATGCTTTCACTTACAATATGTCTTGGTTCCTCAGTTGGACTGCTACAATAAAATACTATAGACTCGGTGGTTTACAAACACCAAAAATTTATTTCTCACAGCTCTGGAGATGATAAGTTCATGGACAAGTTTTGATGACGACCTTCTTATGGGTTGAAGACTGCTAACGTTTAGTTATACCCTCACATGATGGAGCAGAGAGATAAGCAAGCTTTCTTGGGACTCTTAGGAAGACACTAATGCCATTCTTGAGGGCTCTGCTTTCATGACATCATCTAATCCTAATTACCTCACCCTCTAACAACATCACATTGAGGAGTAAGGTTTCAACATATGAATTGGAGTAAAGGACACAAACATTCAGTCCATACCAGAGTGAACTGGAAAGCCATTAGAGGGCTTCGAGCAGAAGAATGATATCCATGCAGTGATAACAAGGGGGCAACTGAAAACACAAATCACGAATTCCATGGAGAAGTCTGGGCTGGGAATATAAACATAGATGCTAAAATCACAAACTTCATTTTTTCATTTGTATATATATAAATTTATTAAATTTTATTAAATCATATTTCTACTATAACACATTATCAAAACCCAAGAAATTATGTTTCTGTACAAATATGTGAGAAAACATTGTTTAAAATTTTGATGATCATGAATCTACTCCCAAGTTATGGCATGAAAAATATGAGCTCCTTTATTTACTTTTTTAAACTCCCAAAGTCATGCATGTTAGAAAAATCATATATATTAATCTTGATCTCTTGTTCCTATATTATCATATAGTAATTTGAGTATTTCCTGTTTTTTCCACTTTTGGCATTTTCATGATTCTCCTCCAAAGCTGCACCATTTTTCCCTTATATGAATGTGAGGAGGACCCACCAACAAAGCAATAAAGAGTTTTGCTTTTATTAAAAGAGATTACATATGTGTGTGTGTGTGTGTGTGTGTGTGTGTGTGTGTAAATGCATGCAATATGCAATGTAATTGGCAGACAGTTTATATAGATATTTTGAAGCTATGACTTCAAACAGAGAAAATGTATGGTTGTAATCTTTCTATGTTTCTAGGAAACTAACATAGTTGGCCTGGTTAGGAGAAGTTCCAATTAAGTAGACATCTGTTGAAAACACAACAAAATAGCATACAGTCTGTTTCAAATATCTTTGCATATTGTGGGTGACAGAGAGTTTAATAAAGCAAACAATAAGGGGAATAAGATTAGTACTTTATTGACAATGAAGGGTGAGTAGTTGATACTTGTAGGAAAGGCAATTCAGAAAGTCATTCATAGACAGGCAGGAAATAGGAATTTAAAGAATAGAATTAAATTAAAATGGAATTTTAATTTAAAAACACAGAAAATGAAAAATAACTGCAAGAAAATATTGTATTCTTATATTAATGCTTAAAATATGTATTTAATGCACAATATGAGTTAAAAAATAAATCAATACTAAAAATTGATTTAAAAGAAATATACTATAGAAATATATACAAATATGAGAATATACTATATGTAGTATATTCATACACTATATTAAGAATATATATGTGTGGCCGGGCGCAGTGGCTCATGCCTATAATCCCAGCACTTTGGGAGGCCGAGGTTGGTGGATCATGAGGTCAGGAGATCGAGACCATCCTGCCTAACACAGTAAAACCCTGTCTCTACTAAAAATACAAAAAAATTAGCCGGCTGTGGTAGCACACATGTATAGTCCCAGCTACTTGGGAGGCTGAGGCAGGAGAATCACTTGAACCCGGGAGGCAGAGGTTGCAGTGACCCAAGATTGTGCCACTGCACTCCAACCTGGAAGACAGAGCGAGACTCCCTCTCAAAAAAAAAAAAAAAAAAAAAAAAAAAGAATACATATGTGTATATTTATTTACATACACAAAGGACTTCCACACAAAAACCTCACCTGCAGGTCACCAACATCATAGACCAAAGGTAGATAACCACGAAGATAAGGAAAAAACAGAACAAAATGGCTGAAAATTCCAAAAAACAGAATGCCTCTTCTCCAAAGGATCACAACTCCTCACCAGCAAGGGAACAAAACTGGATGGCGAAAGAGTTTGACAAACTGACAGAAGTAGGCTTCAGAAGGTGGGTAATAACAAACTCCTCTGAGCTAAAGGAGCATGTTCTAATCCAATGCAAGGAAGTTAAGAACCTTGAAAAAAAGGTTAGAGGAATTGCTAACTAGAATAACCAGTGTAGAGAAGAACATAAATGACCTGATGTAGCTGAAAAACACAGCACGAGAACTTCGTGAAACTTACACAAGTATCAATAGCCGAACTAATCAAGCAGAAGACAGGAAATCAGAGATTAAGGATGAATTGAATGAAATAAAACATGAATACAAGATTAGAAAAAAAGAATGAAAACGAATAAACAAATCCTCCAAGAAATATGGGACTATGTGAAAAGACCAAACCTACGTTTGATTGGTGTAACTGAAAGTGAAGGGAGAATGGAACCAAGTTAGAAAACACTGAAGGATATTATCTAGGAGAACTTCCCCAACCTAGCAAGACAGGCCAACATTCAAATTCAGGAAATACAGAGAACACCACAAAGATACTCTTTGAGCAGAGCAACTCCAAGACACATAATCGTCAGATTCACCAAGGTTGAAATGAAGAAAAAAATATTAAGGACAGCCAGAAAGAAAGGTTGGGTTACCAACAAAGGGAAGCCCATCAGACTAACAGTGGATCTCTTGGCAGAAACCCTGCAAGCCAGAAGAGAGTGGGGGCCAATATTTAACATTCTTAAAAAACAGAATTTTCAACCCAGAATTTCTATTTTATTTTATTTATTTTATTTTATTTTATTTTATTTTATTTTATTTTATTTTATTTTATTTTATTTTATTTTATTTGAGATGGAGTCTCGCTCTGTCACCCAGGCTGGAGTGCAGTGGCAGGATCTCGGCTCACTGCAAGCTCCGCCTCCCGGGTTCATGCCATTCTCCTGCCTCAGCCTCCCGAACAGCTGGGACTACAGGCACCCACCACCACGCCCGGCTAATTTTTTTTTTTATTTTTAGTAGAGATGGGGTTTCACCGTGTTAGCCAGGATGGTCTCAATCTCCTGACCTCGTGACCCGCCCGTCTCGGCCTCCCAAAGTGCTGGGATTACAGGCGTGAGCCACAGTGCCCAGCCTCAACCCAGAATTTCATATCCAGCCAAACTAAGCTTCATAAGCAAAGGAAAAATAAAATCCTTTACAGAGTAGCAAATGCTGCAAGGTTTTGTCACGACTAGGCCTGCCTTACAAGAACTCCTGAAGGAAGCACTAACACCGCATGTTCTCACTCACAGTTATGTGAGTTTATGTGCTCTGAAATGTTACTGATGTTTACTGGGCCCATATATTATTTTAATGACAAATATAGGATTGTGCGGAGCAAAAAGTTGCTGATTTGTTTACTTATACTTTTAAATTCAACATAAATTGAAAAAGTATAATTTCATTATTTCACAATTTCTCTCAAACTCTATACCTTTCTACTGGCTATTACTAGTTTTAAAAATGAGTTCCAAACTATATTTAACTATAAGAGAGAACTGAAAAATTAGGGATAAAAATGGTTTTAAAAATAGTTGAAGAGAAACCATTGGAAAGGATAACAAGAATGACCAGAGCCATTAATAAACAAAATAATAGTTTGTCTAATATCTAAACCATTTTCAGGTTGAACTCAACATAAGTTGAATACCACATGAGATCAGCTATTTTTTTTTCCTGTTGCATTTCCTATTTTCCTTCTCTCCTCAAGTTTTTTGCTCTTTAAAAAGTTCTTACATTTAAAATATAAGGTTATGAAACAAAAATTCGAGTATTAAATATGATACTTTTGGAGGAATAAAATTTATGTTCTCTGGTGCTCTAATTTCTTGCATTCCCATTTGCTTCTATTCATGGAATATAGATTAACAAAACTAAAATCAGTATGTGCGTGTGTGTGTGTGTGTGCATGCGCGTGTGCTCATGCGCGTGTGTCTTGCAGAAAATAACTATAATTCAACACATGCAGTACCATATGTTACCTTAAAAAACACTTCAATTTAAAATATATTTTCCAAGATTGATACTGAGCAAAATAATTTTTAAAAATTTGACCACTGTGGGGGAAATCATTGACAATAAGTCAAAGACTGTGATATGACTCCACAAGTAACTAAGGGAAGAGTTCAGAATAAAGGTAATACAGGCATGAGCATTATCTCCCTGTTTGTTCAACTTAATATTGAGAAATGTAGTGGCTACAGACAAAATAAGAGAGGCCCTCTGTGTGGAAGAGAATGAACGACCTTAGATTTAGAAATGATATTGACCTGTCATCTTAGACCTGAAAGAAACTGCACTGAGGTTGGAAAAATGGAAAAGGAGAGAAAGAAAGCAACAGATTATTTATTTAGAGCAGCTATTTGCCTGAAGTAATCTCAAATGTGGGGGAAAAAAAATGTGGCATAGACTTCTAGTGGCTGACAAAGATTGAGATAAAGAGCCAAACTAACAAGAACAGGCATAGACATAAAATGATGTGAAAGTTATTGCTTCTTAATATAAGAACAATGAGTTTGGAAATTTAGTTTTTAATTGAAAATCTCTATCTTCTCTATTGTCTTAATATGATATATTATATAAATTAAATGACACATGAAACAAAATTTGCAAAAATAACTAGACAGAGTTGACATTTAAAAAAATTGTTCGTGATATTGAGCCATTATATTACTGTAGAACTGAGGAACCAACAATTGATTTAATTTTTGCAAATTTTCTTGAGAAGTTGTCCACACACACGTATGAATCATTGAAACAACTTTGTATCACACTCTTTACATATAAAACCTCTTCTGAGGCAAATAATATCTGAAATATTTAATTGTTTTCTACATGAAAATGACCAAATGTATTTTGTGACCAATTTCAAAATCTACCATCTCTCTGAAGATTTACACAACATTTCTTCTGTCTAGAGAGAATCAATAACTCCTTATAAAATACCATGTACAATGATAGCATGATAGAGAGGTTTTTCATTTATTCAAATTATAATCTTTTGATATCTACATATGAATAAATACATGAATAAACTAATTTCAGTATGTGATAATTCCTATGAATAAAGTGATACATATTACCATGATTTGTAAAAAAAAAATGTATGAGCTAGTTCTCTAGATGACATCATCAGACAAGATTATCTCAGGGTAGGTGATCATTAGCAAATCCCAAATATCAATGAAAAGCCACCTAAGTGGGGCAGGGAAACAGGCTAGTGAAAATCATTTCAGTTGCAGTTGCAGAAAGGTTATAGTAATTCCTGCATGGAACTTTGTGACATCATTCAATTTTTTCACTCACAAAAATAAGAAAAAGCTGGAGTTGCTCTACAGTGACACAGATTCTAAGACAAAATAGAACACGAACAATTCCTATAGAACGCCAGCTAAATATAAGCTTGCACCACCTTCTGAAGTTATACCTCTTTTAAGTAGATGTTCCCACTGAAGCAGCTGATAAATAAATGACCCCTCACAATTGAAATCTGTTGTCATGTTTGGTGAAGCCCCAGGTACTATAGATACTGAGATCTATTAGTTGTACAGAAGGAAGTAAAGTCCTAAAGGATAGAGAATGGGAAAATTGACCAGCAAGAAAGGATAAGTTCTTTGAAGAAAATGTTCAGCAGTTAAAATTAACACATCCACCAAAGGATAATAAAGCATTCATCTACTCCAGGTTGATATATACACCTAATGAGTGTGATTCTTGTGACTGAATCAAGCCATTGAACTATTAAACGATGATACATCAGTATCATTTGAGTTGTAAATCAAGGAAAAAAATACATGACTACATAGGAGATCTACATGGGAGACATTAAATGTAAAACCTAAGAAAAGGAGGAATATTTCCAGCTGATAAAAGCAGACTTCAATGTATATCTTCAATCCTGAGAGAGATTAATCCCATTAATACGTATAAAAAGCTAGTCAAGTAGAGTCAAGTAGATTGACCACACAGAGACAAGAAAGATCAGAAAGCTGTACTTAAAAATTCTAATAGATTTCTAAAGTGTAAGTGAACTAGGCAACAGATCTTAGAATATTATCTGAGAACAAAATTATACAAGTAAATATATTTAAAATTAAAGCCTTTACATGTCACAGGATAGAGACAACCAAATATTTTCTTGAGAGGAAGTGACACTGCAGGGTTAGGATAATCCAAAAACATTCTGAAGGTGGGAGCATTTTGGATATTCTTAGAAGGATTTCTGTTAGTAGTAATTGAAGGCAAGAGATAGTTTCAATTGAAAGAGAGAGCAGCATAAACATAAATATAGACTCAAATTGAGGGAAGTCCAGAATGTTTATGGACTATAGTTGATACCACCCCACTTAGGGAAGTCCAGAATGGTTATGGACTATAATTGATAATGTCCCACTTTACCTGAAATGTATGTTACAATTAAGGAACTATGATAGAGAACACGTAATGCCAGATTGAGGACATATTGTATCCTGCCTTGAATACTAAAGTGCATCAATTTTAATTAATTTGGTAAGCTACAGGGAAACAAATGATGGTTATTGAGTAAGAACATGAACAGAACTTTGGGTTAGAGGAGATTAACTTGGCAGCTGCGAGAATTCTCCCTTGAATATTTGATATTACTGTTTCACTGCTTATAATTAGCTATCATTGTTGCAAGAGTATCATGTTCACTTTGAGAAACTTTCTATTGCTGAAAAACATTTTATGATAAAAAATGTATATAAGCTGTGTACTGATTTTGTTTCTAATTTACATGTGAGTCATGTATTTGTATTTCTTTAACAAAAGATGAATTAAAAAAATGAAAGCATGAGCTATGAGCTGAAGGTTGCTGAAAATATGGTTTCACAAAATGATAAAATGACCAACATAGTTATCCACCTATATGAAAGAGCATACTTCCTTATTACGAAGTAGTATCAATATCTCATAAGTCCTGTATTGGTAAAGTACATTATAATGGCAATTGATCATAATTGGATACATCTTTCCTTAATAATTGGCCCGTGAGAATATTTATTGCCTAAGATTAGCTTACATGCAAAGACATATCAATGGCTAAAAAGGGGACTTTTGAAAGAGTGTTGCTTGAAGGATACAAACCCATCATCTCAATAGAGAATACATTTTATTATTTGGTATGAATAGTCTCTTTTTTGAGACTAAATAACAACAGAATTACACCAGGCATGTATGAGATTGTGAGACATAAAACCAGGTATGTGTTTTACTAATTCACTGTTTTGCATAATAAAATATTTTATAATGAAATTATTTTATTATATTATAGAAATTTGATTGTATGATTGATTGTCCCCCACTGGAAAATTATCACTTCCTTGCAATAGCCAGTATATTATGATAGAAAAAATACACACTACACTAGTTGCACTTACATTAGAAAAAAATAGTGAAAACACAGTGTTAATTTCTTTAGGGGAAAAAGTGGCCATCCTAGAGATTGGCAGGCTTTGGGCAAGAAATTTTGGGAATTTTGTAGGGTTGAAAGTATTATATAATTTTTAGGATATCTGTAATCTATAATGTCTTTATGCATTGAGAATTTGAGTTGTACTGTATTTAAAAGACTTATGTAATGTAGACTTTAACAGATTACAAAGTATTATACACTAGCCTCCATTTGTATTTTAAACTTTGTTTGTCCTAAATAGAGCCAAACAGAATATAAAAAAATACTAACAGAATTATCTGTCAATTGCTTATATTAAATATTTCCCATATCCATTACCTCCCTTGACTTCTGTCATTTACCCCTGGTATGTATTAATTCACGTAGTCAAATTCACTATTGAATGAAATAGCAGGCATTGTATCATTGTGCCTATCTAGGCATTGCAGCATATGGCAGATGAATACCATCTGCTGGGAACATGCTGGACTAGAAACTTCTCTGACACAGCTCTTGTGGATTATGGGCTTCTGGGCTAAATGATATTAAGCTAGGCTGTGTTGAAAACGCCCTATCAGTTAGTTGAATATTGTGGTGCATCATCACATTTAGCCTTATTAAAATTCGCTGATACAGAACACTGGAAGGCATTGCCACACATGACATTAACTGAAAGTGGGTCAACTTGGTTCTTACCAGTCTATTACACAAAATTTCTATGAAAATTGCTATTATTGTTGGTTAGATTCCAATTATTCATAATATCCATGAAATGGTTAGGACAATTTTCTGCTTAATATTGCTCTTCAGAATAATAGCAAGCTATAGAGCACAATGATAATTTCCTTAAGAAAGTAATTTCCAGAGAGTTATTTCTGGGCAATGTAGTCTTTGAGTTCATAAAAGTAAACACATGCATCCACTATATATATACACACACACATATATATTTATATGTATATATACATATAGACACACACTTATAAACACACATATTCTAACAAACCATAGGGAAGTTAAGTATAAAATAATTTTATTTAATTATAACATAGAACTATCATTAAATGCTGGCAGTCCTCACTTTGAATAGTATTATATTAACTGAAACTGGTGCAAATCAGAATTGTGTCTTTGCCTTGCACAGTTCCATGAAAACAAATTACCATAACTCGTGGAAAAGTGGGTGTCTATAGGCGCTAGGCTATAAATTTGGTTTACAAAAATTCCTGTGTTTTCCTTAAGTCACAAGATGGTTTAAATCCCTCTTTCCATATTATTTCAGCATATCTATATCACTTTAATCTACTGGTCCTGGTAATTCTAGTTTTATTCCTCTGTCTCCTGTTCCTTCTACACTACCAATACCATTGATTGAAAATTCTTTAAATTAAGAATCTTTGTCTTATTCTTTCTTGAATTTTAGCACAATAATTTAATATATTTTTGTCATGACCATATTCTTTTGATTTTTGTTATAATATTTTCTCTGAATATAATTTAACCATATGTAACTGTAGATACAAAAACAGCTTATTGTATTATAGCTCATTATTTTCATTATGTATTATAAATTCAGACATTCTATAACCCATTAATCATTCATGTTAGGCATAAATAATTATTTGTGAGCATATTACTAGTATATTTTAATTAATGTCAATAAGATGTTTGTCATATTTCGATCTAATTTTACCTCTTCCCTATTGCATTTTTAAAAATATACATATGACAAAACTTGAATACTGTTTTTTGTTTTCCACATGTTATTTCCTATTCTTTTACAAAAATGTGTGATTATATAATCTAGCAATTTTTCTTTTATTAAACCAACCTTGGACAGGCAAAATACTGCCTCATCAGTGGTCTCCATCATAGTCCACCGATCCCATATTTTTCCACTCTGTTGTGTGCACGTACTCAACACTTCTCAAAAATTATTTATCACATTATTATGAAACCAGGCAAAAGTCAATGGCACAGGTGCCTGCAGATACTAGTGGTTTATATCTCAAGAACATTCTGTGGCATCTTGCGCTCATAAGTTCTGCAGAGAAGTTCACTTTGAGAATAAAAGTTGATATATGCAAACTAGCTAGAAATATCTCAGAAGAGGAAGGCCAGATCCCAGACTCATTATGAGCCAAATAGGGAAGCAGAATGAAAAGAGAGGTGAAAAGTTTTCATGGGATTATATGGGGGAAAAACAGAGGGGTGCATGTGTGTGCGTGTGTGTGTGTGTGAGAGAGAGAGAGAGAGAGAGAGAGAGAAATCATACAAATTTAAACTAAAACTCAAGATAGAAATTTGAGGTAGGAATAATGTCCATCTACTTTGACCAAAAAGTATTAATTTAAATGTAATATTCAGGTTTTTCTTCCTTAGAAATTCTTGTTCAGAGCTTACTTACTTTGAAGCTTTCACTTGAGTTAATGAAGTACCGGAGCTGGTTTTAAATTTGATGTCTAATTCCCGGTATTTTATAATATTGTATTTAGTGTGAACAGGAAAATTGACTTGAATTTTTTAATGTTTATTTATTTATTTGAGACAGTCTCGCTCTGTTGCCAGGCTAGAGTGCAGTGGCTTGATCTCGGCTCACTGCAACCTCCGCCTCCCGGGTTCAAGCGATTCTCCTGCCTCAGCCTCCCGAGTAGCTGGGATTACAGGCGCCTACCACCACACACGGCTAATTTTTGCATTTTTAGTAGAGACAGGATTTCACCATGTTGGCCAGGCTGGTCTCGATCTCCTGACCTCGTGATCCTCCCTCCTTGGCCTCCCAAAGTGCTGGGATTACAGGCATGAGCCATCATGCCCGGCCTGAATGTTCTATTAATTTATAAACCTTTCTAAAAAGTTGAAAACATAAAAAATATAATCCACAATTCTACTATTCAGGCACAACTTTGTTTACTCTCTAGACATTTGTAACTTTACGTTTATTTCATGTTTTCTCTCTCTCTCTTTTTCTCTTCTTGTTGCTATCATGTACACAAATTATTCTGAATTTTTATTTAATTTTAAAATATTAAAATTTCAACATGCTACTCTATTTTGATGGCAGGACTTCTACATGATATATATTTTGAGAATATTACTTATTCTATGTTCAAAATATTTTGTCATATTATAATTTTGTGATATAGTGAATGAACATTTAAATGATCCTTTTTGCATACAGTATGTAAAAGCATTAATTATGATGAATCTGCAGAGGTAGGGTTTAGAGATCAAAATATGTTAACCTTTATATGTTCTTGAATTTTATTTTCAAACTGTTCAACAAATTGTTTTTCAAAAATTATCACTATCGTTTGATAACAAGTCTAGTCATTCTTTAACATGCCTGCTCACATCTCTCTCTCTCATCTATATCATAAATAATTATATTTCTTGTTTTAAATTCCTGCACGTCTCAATTACTAATGAGATGATATTTTGGATATGAATCCTACTGGATTCAGTATTGTAATTTCTTGGAAAGATTTTAAAGGGGAAATAAAAACTGGTTCTATTCCTTGGTTAGTGTAAAGAGAACACACACACACACACAATTTTAAAATTTCTTAATAAATTGCCTAGAGAAAGACACATAAATTGTTAGGTGCAAGATTGACAAAAAAGAATGTAGGAGCTGATATAAGCAAATAAACAGAGCTTTCTTCAGCTCACAGGTCATTGGGGAAACATGCCACTGTTGGTGTTCCTTTCTCTTCACGGTAGTGCATCGATAAATACAGAAGATGCCACACCCACCATATATTAAGATTCACATCAATACTCAGGAAGGAATCAAACAGTCTTAGTCTTAATATAACACATTTTGAAAAATGCAAAATATTCTTACCATCAAAACAAACTGAGTAATAACATGGACACCACTGTCCCCAGCAACCCCACAGCATATTGGGAGAAAGAGGAGGCAAATCTCACTGCACCAGTAACTCTGACTTCAGTTTTCTAGCATCCTAGGAAGTCCATTTATTCATAACTCATCCTTGATTGTGATTTAAGGCTTCTTGATTTGAGGCATTCTGAGTCAGATTCATACATTAATAATCACGATCAAAGCGTTCACCTAGTCCGTAGGGATCAGCATGGCTCCCTAATCCAGGGGTCCTAGTCATTTTGTGGGCACCTAATCATGGCTACTAATTCCCTTCTCATCTAAAATTTTTAGAAGGGTTTCTTTTTCCAGCACTGAATACTGCCTGATACTATTGACAGTCTTGTCACTTAATCAGAAAATATTATAACAATAATAAATGTAGTGTAAAAGGATGGATATGTATATAACAGGCGAAGTTTAACAAAAATACAGCATAACATGTACTATTTTATGGAAAATGCTTTATATTGTTTATCACTTATTTTAAGCAGGAAATTAACATGTAAGTAAGTTTTAAACATAATCTATAAAGAAATTTGTGGAATGTGGCCAAAGCTAAATTCATGAGCAAACCACAAGGTAAAATGGTGTTAACTAAAAATTGTCAATGTAAATATTCATTAGTTAGCCTTCTAAAGCCAGTCAAACATAGAAAATCAAAGATAAAACGAATGTAAGCAATTGAAATAAAAGATTACAAAAACGAAGTAATTCATTAAAAAATAGAGACAATAGGTTGATAATTACATACTAGGGAAACTATGTTTTCCAGTGTCAAGAAGAGAAAACACGAATGCTAGACTTTAAGATAAGAAGGGAATAATATTGTAAAAGGCTTATATAGTTACTAAAATCCAAATTGCAAGAAATAAAAATCAGGTAACCAATTTTAAAATGTTCAAACTCAACACATACAAAAATAAAATAATGATGTATCATAGTTTATTAAATTGCTGAACATTTTTACACAGGGATAAGCAAGGTTTGTGTATCTGAAAGATAAACATATACTTATAAAGTTGTTGGAAAAATAAATTTACACATAAAGCCTAGATAATTTGATAAGCAGAAGTTAAACTAACAAAATCTGAACAAAGACAAGCAACAAAATTTCTCATCTTAAAGTCTATTTTGATTGATATACACTGAGGAAATTTTGAATATAGGCCCTGTATTCCTTGGAATTGCTTCAATTGGAAAGCTAAATTTCAAATATGGATAAATTATTTAATGAATAAGCTTCAGCTATTTAAATAGCTACTATGTAACTGTTAATACAAAATGTTTTGAAAACATTTAATGGCATGCAAAAATGTTTACAATTTACTGAAAACCATGGTGGAGACCACATAGGCCCATTTTTAAGAATAAAACAATCGGCTGGGTGCGGTGGCTTACACCTGTCATCCCAGCACTTTGGGAGGCCGAGGCGGGTGGATCATGAGGTCAGGAGATCGAGACCATCCTGGCTAACACGGTGAAACCCCGTCTCTGCTAAAAATACAAAAAATTAGCCAGGTGTGGTGGCGGGTGCCTGCAGTCCCAGCTACTCGGGAGGCTGAGGCAGGAGAATGGCATAAACCCAGGAAGTGGAGCTTGCAGTGAGCTGAGATCGCGCCGCTGCACTCCAGCCTGGGCGACAGAGCGAGACTCTGTCTCAAAAATAAATAAATAAATAATAAATAAATAAATAAATAAATAAATATAGATAAAACAATCACACACATACATTAACAGTATTTTTAAACTAATTTTATTTGAAGTTATCCCTGGTCAATAAGGTTTATAATGATTTATAAATGTATTCATTTTATGTTTTTCTATGCTATCCTGTTCCTAATTAAGATCATATTATTTTATAAGATAATGCTTATTGTCAAAAGTTCTTATCCTGTCATCTTCTGAAAGCTGGTTTCTGTGCTTATTAATAGAGCAACATGGAAAATAGTTTTTCTCACATCGAGAAAGCACCACTCCCCACTACGTATCTTTCCCTCTCCTTTAGGAATCATGCTGAGAAGACTCCTTAGTGTACATGTCTCATCGACCTTTGGAGATTAATTTTGAAAAGAGAATTTTTATGTCAGTACATGAATTCCTTGTCAGTAAAAATGAAACTGTGCGTCAATGGATTTCTATTCCAGATGACTGAGCAAATTACCAGCTGTGTGACTTTAATATCTCAACATCTCAACTTCATTTCTTAAGCTTTAAAAAGAGAGTTAGAGAAGATAATCTCGAGAATTTCTATTACTGGAATCTCATGCTCGATATTGGGAAAGGGAGACGGCGGTTTTTAGATGCTGTAAATAGTACTTCAGTAAACCTCCATCTACATGGATTCCTGCACATCAGGATTCTTTTCTCTCCTGGGTAGGATCCTGACATGGGATTTTTGGACCACAGGAGATTATATACAAATATACATGCATATGTATCACATATAACATACGTAATATATAAGGTCATTAATACAACACAATTACAATAATAAATTAATATTATTAAATATTTAATACATGTTAGCATATTTCTTTCTGAAAAGGTTACAGCTTGTTAAGTTCTACCAATGTATATGGAAGTGTCTTCTTCCTTACAATAGATGCCAGAAAATCAAGTTAAATTATTATTAATACATGTTGGCATATTTATTTCTGAAAAGGCTAGTGCTTGTTAAGTTCTACCAATGTGTATGGAAATGTATTCTTCCTTACAATAGCTGCCAGAAAATCAAGTTAAATTATTATCTTTCCTAATTGTTGCCATTCTGAAGACTATACAATTATGTTGTATATTTTCTTCATTTTTATTTGCCTATGGAGTAGTGATTCTGAGCAGCTTCTCCTATTTTCTTGCCCAGCTCTCCTCTGAACTGTCTACTCATATTCCTCCTTACTTCCAGTTAAGAACTATGGATCACTGTTTTTGGAAGAGTTGTGATGGCACTAGAAGATTCTGATTCAAAATCAGAGCTTTACAGAGAGCATGATGGTGGTTACCACAGGCTGGGAGTAGCGGGAAGGGGAAGATGTTGGTCAAAGGATACAATGTTTCAGTTAGACAGGAGGAATAAAGGATAAGTTTTTGAGGGGATGAATTGTTAATTAGCTTGATTCAATCATCCCACATTTGTTTGTGAGTGCGTGTGTATGTATGTGTGTGTGTGTGTATATATATATATAGATATACATATACATATATATATAATAGCATCACTTTGCACCCCATAAATATATAGAATTATAATTCTCCAATGTGAAATGGAAAAATAGCACTGTAAAAGTAATTATAATTATTTTATTTAGTTAAAAATTAAAATAAGGATTATATTTTATGGATATAAATGGGAATAAATTTTGCTCAAGCTATTTCCTGCATATATTGGTCACTTACGTGCTACTGTCAGATCTATACACACACACACACACATACACACTCCCACAAGCATAGAAATAATATATATAAATACTTTGCACACAGTTTTACATACAAAACTATATGCAATGTCAAACCACATTTTAGTAGACTGATGCAAAGATATGGTACAGAGAGCATGACAGAGAACTAGAACCTGAAGAAAAATATGGCCCAAGACTTTTTCCCAGTTGTGGAGTTCCTAATTGACGATTAAGGACGGTGAGACTGCAACAAAACCTTTAAGAACAGAGTGAAATAAAGGTTAGCTACACAATCATGCAAAAACAGGTAAAATGTGTTTATGGAAGCACGGAGCTGACCAAGAACTAGGAAAGGGGAGGGGTAGAAAAAACAGAGGGACAAGGAGAAGGAAATAGAACATGGTAAGATAAATGAAGTCTGAGGAAAAATACAGCCAGAGACAAACTCCCAGCTGCAGGGTTTCTACTTGACTCCAAGATCAGGGTTTTCTACAGAACTAGTATATTTTAAGAGTATCTTGTTGGTACAACATAAACTTTCCTTGGTACATCTCTTGCTACACATATACCTTGAGTGAATAATGTGGGGAAAAATAATAGAAAGGACCCTTATTCTGTGTCTCAGTCAAGAACAAGGAGAAAACGTGGCTGTGAATGCAAAGTGAATGTGATTTAAGGAAAAACAGGGAATTGAGAGCCAGAAATGGATAAATTGCTATTTTAGGCATCTTACATTTTAAGTGGAAGAAATCTTGGTAGTTTGAAATGCAGAACTAGTCTTGTAATGAAGATCAGGAGAGGATATATTGGCACGGAGTTATTGTTTCATTGGGTGACAGTGGGAAGTGCTCCTGAACAAAGAATTTCCGAAAGAGCGAGAGCTTCAGGTAACATCCAGATTATGAAGTCAATACTGAAATGATGGTTTTGAGATAAACACCTTTTAAATCATTAAAATTATAAAATTCTGTTCAGTACATATGTGATGGTTAATACCAAGTGTCACCTTGATTGGATTGAAGGATGCGAAGTATTGTTACTGCGTGTGTCTATGAGGGTGTGGTCAAAGGAAATGAACATTTGTGTCAATGGACTGGGAAAGGCGGGACCACACTCAATCTGGGTGGGCACCATCTAATCAAGCTGCCAGCACAGCTAAAATACAGCAGGCAGAAGAAAAGTGGAATTAGCAGACTTGCTGAGTCTTCTAGCCTTCATCTCTCTCCTATGCTACATGCTTCCTGCCCTCAAAAGTCAGGCTCCAAGTCCTTCAGCTTTTGACTCTTGGATTTACACCAGTGGTTTGCCAGCAGTTCTCGGGCCTTTGGCCAAAGACTGAAGACCGCACTGTTGGTTACCCTGCGTTTGAGGTTTTGGGACTCAGACTGGCTTACTTGCTCCTCAGCTTGCAGACGGCCTATTGTGGGACTTCACCTTGTGATAATGTGAATTAATAAACTCCCCTTCATATATAAATCTAGCCTATTAGTTTTTCTGTCCCTCTAGAGAAACCTAATACAACATATCTAGTACTTAATATAGTTTTTAACATTAAAATTGGGAAGACATGTGGTAAATAGAAAGAACCCAAGAATGTTCCAAAAATGGCTTCATTCCCCAGGCTGGCAAACAAATACGGTGCTTTTTGTTTCTGTTTTTCTGAGATTTAAGAACATTATCTTTGTGCAATTTTATTGATTACCACATGAGAGAAAAATAGGAACACTTATAATGAGAAATCTAAAACATTACTATATAAAGGGGAAACTACTATTCTTTGATGTCTTTGCAGAGATAAAATTATTCAAGTATTTAATAAAAACTATGTTTTCAAAGGCATGTTATTTGTGGATTCAATAATGAAATTCAAAAATAGAAATAGTGATTGTATTTCAAGTAGTGAATGCAAATGTTCTCAGTGACATCTGTTTCCATTGTTTTATTAGCATATACGTTTTAATTCCATTCTAAAAGTATGCATTTATATTCTCAAAGTTATCTTTTTAAATTTTTTCTTTATATTGTCTGTCAGTAGAGAGAGTAATGATGTGTATTATTTGCAATCTATTGGCATATTAAGGCGACAACAAAGAGTCGTAGTATATGTATAGAGTCCTGGTACAACATTTATTAAAGCTAACATTGTTATGTGCTCCAATCTTTATATTGTAACTTTTGTTTTGAAAATGTTAGCTGTTTATTTCCATAAAATAAAATAAATAATCCCAATACATTATGTGAACGTCTTTAAATTCCCAAGAGCTATGATTGTTTTTTCCATTTTACACAGCAATAACTTTATTGATTTCAAGAATAAATGAATATATCACTTTAGAAATTATTAGATTTATAGTAAAAGAAATACTTGTCTCCTAATAAAAACTCATACATAATAATTCTTCACTTATAAACATGATGTACTACTCTACACTTTTTCTCTGATTTTCAAATTTGCTAAATATACCAAGAACATTAATCAATGTGCTATTCTTAAAATGTTAAATTTTTTAAAGTACTATATGAACACTGTAATTTTCTCCAAAAATGTTGGGTACATTAAATAACCAAGGCTAGTGGCCTTTCAAATAAGTTTTTTTATTAATATAATGAACTATTAAAATTTAATATTTTATTGTAATATAATTTTAAATATATGACTAATAAAAATAAAATAATTAATATTAACAGGTAATATTTCATTTAATAATAGAGATATTAATAAATATTAGTTTCAGATAAATCCATAACTAAACTTTAATGCTCATAAAATAACTCATAGTAACATACATCAGTTATGTTAATATAAATCAGTTTATAAGGCAAAATAATGTGAAACAACACTTATTTCATATTAGTGATATGGTTTGGGTGTCCCCACCCAAATCTCACTTTGATTGTAACAATTCCCGCCATCCTGTGTCAAGGGCAGGGCCAGGTGGAGATAACTGAATCTTGGGAGTGGTTTCTCCTATACTGTTCTCATAGTGAATATATCTCATGAGATCTCATGGATCTCATATATTTATAAGTGGGAGTTCCCCTGCACACACGCTCTTTCCTGCCGCCATGTAAGACATCCTTTTGCTCTTCCTTCATCTTCCTCCATAATTGTGAGGCCTCCTCAGCCATGTAGAACTGTGAGTCCATTAAACCTCTTTCCTTTATACATGACCCAGTCTTGGGCATGTCTTTGTTAGTACCCTGAGGACAGACTAATACAAATAGGTATAGTAAAGAAACGCTTCTTGAATACGATATAAAAATTTGCTATCCTGAGATTAAGAATGTGAGTCAACCAAATGAAAGAGTGAAGACACCCAGCAAAATTCTTTAACTTTTAATGTGATTTCTGGGCAGTGACTGTGTTCTGTCTTCATTTTTGAATAGTCCTCTTCAGTAACTGAAAAACACCTCTATTTCACAAGCTTTTGTTCTTAGTATATTCCTAAGCCAAGAACTCTTTTTGTGGGTGAATGTAGGGTATCTAAGAAGTGAAGAAAAAAGCAATATAACACACAGATTTTAAATGCTATAATTATTGATATAACAAATTAAAATTTAATATTATATAAAACATTTAGTATTTGATTATTCTAAAGTCATTATTAGAAATTATTGATGTTTATTAATAGTTCAATAATGCTATGAATGGAATATAGTAATATAGCACATGCATTTTGCTTCGTTCCATCTCTCATGTATCTACCTGTGTAAGTAATAGTAGGTCTTCAATAATGCTTGTTGTTACTGACTGAATATTGCACATTTTCATTAACAGAAATTTAACCAGGGCTCACAGTAAAAACATTTTGAGTTAATATATTATTTATTATTTTAGCATTATTCAATGAAAGTGATAATAACCAACATGGCAGAATTTACTTAATTTAATCAAAATTTTTATTTCCTACATCCTTGGAGTCATGATTCACAAAATACTCACTTATATCTTCATGGGAATAAAAATTTATTTTACTTATATATTAGATTTTTTAGCTATAAAATTATTCTATAGTAATATAGGTACTAATTGCAGTATGAACCTGTGCATTTATAATCTTTAAACAAAATAAACATATTTTCATGCCAGGGTGAGGGATTCTTACTGAATATATTGTTTTGACATAAATAATGCTCATGCTATTTGAATCATAGATGGATGCCACATGTTACACCCTCAGATGTGATTTCAAATTTGATTAAGTAGTATAAGTTTCAATTATATAAGGGATGTAATAAGGATGGATAGTGAAAGTTTGCAATATGCATTTTTAAGAAATCACAAAAAAATCAAAAGGAAGAAAACAATGAGAGATGGTCAAGTTCCTTTTCTTCCTGAAAATTAATAGTTCCTAAATAATGAATAGAGGAAAATTTCTCTTCATGGAAAATAAATACAGACCCAGCCTATGCCTCAAGCATAGAACATATGGAGTCAAATAAGGACAAGATAAATTGTTAAAATATCATGAGTCACTCACTGATTTTACATAATCAATTTGGGTATCGAATTGTGCTAATGCTCAATACTTTTCTCTGTGTAATATGTAGTTCATTGAAGGAAAAATAAGTCTCTGTTAAGACAAATTCTCGGAGGAGGCAGTTTCTGTCTCTTATCTCTGCTGTGAACAAGAGTCGTAACTGTGGTAGGTTGTACCAAGCCTGATGCATAGCTATGGCAGTTATTCGCGAGGTCTTAACCTCATTATTTTAAAAAAGTTGTAAATGCCATTACGGAAGACCATTTATTTGGAAAGGCATTCCATCATGAGTCCTCAGCGTTCCATCGTGAGTCCTCAGCATTCCTGCACCTTCTTGCTAACTGTGCCAGACAGCAAGGCTTACCTGTCTTCTAATACTGAGCACTTTCTATGGCTAGTCACATAGGCAACTGGTAGGTTAAGAAAACTGCAGTGTGATCACTACGTAGCTTCCCACTTTCCAAGAGAAAGTAGACTGGCTAATTTGCTAATTGGTAAAATCTTTGCGGCTTGCTAAAAACAAATAAACACAAACAAAAAACTATTGATCTCTTGTTTTGTGTTCCTTAGGTATTCCACAACTCATTGTGTGTTCTGCCTTCATTGTGGCTCCTCATATCACCCTAAAGAATTGAACAGCAGAGCTACCATTGCATATATGGTGATACTCTGACTACTGCTTTTTCTGAAAATTATTCATTCTTTCATCTCTGATCCAAGAGTTTTATATGCATCTATGGAATTGTGTCAGTTTCACACGTCAGCTTGCAAATCACAGAAAATCTCAGACCTTCCCCAGTTCTTGATGTGATTGAACTCTTCATTGTACATTTTTTTGGGGGGGTGGAGGGGGGTGGCGGGGATGGAGTCACCCAGGCTGGATCACAGTGGGGGAATCTCGGCTTATTGCAACCTCCGCCTCCCAGGTTCAAGCGATTCTCCTGCCTCAGCCTCCTGAGTAGCTGGGACTACAGGCGGGTGCAACCACGACTGGATAATTTTTGTATTTTTAGTGGAGACAGGTTTTCGTCGTGTTGGCCAGGCTGGTCTGAAACTCCTGATCTCAGGTGATCCACTCACCTCAGCCTCTCAAAGTGCTGGGATTACAGGCTTGAGCCACCACGCCTGGCCAAAATTTAATTTAAGCATAAAAAATAAATCTACCTATATTAAATTGTACAGTTTTGATTGCAACTTCAGCCACCTTTTTAATTATTTTTTACAGGTAGCATGTGTTTTTTTTTTTTTTTTTTTTTTTTTTTTTTTTTTTTTGAGACAGAGTCTCGCTCTGTCGCCCAGGCTGGAGTGCAGTGGCGCAATCTCGGCTCACTGCAAGCTCCGCCTCCCGGGTTCACGCCATTCTCCCGCCTCAGCCTCCGGAGCAGCTGGGACTACAGGCGCCCGCCACTGCACCCAGCTACTATTTTTAGTAGAGACGGGGTTTCACCATGGTCTCGATCTCCTGACTTCATGATCCACCCGCTTCGGCCTCCCAAAGTGCTGGGATTACAGGCGTGAGCCACTGCGCCCGGCCTGCAGGTAGCATTTCACTAGCAGTAATAAAGCCCAGAAATATCCTCATGTAGATGGTACAAGCTTTCTCATTATTCGAATTCTGCCGGTCATCTACTCCTTGTTCCTTATATTTTCCCACATCCATCTGTGTAGAATTTTGCTTTCCTGTGAAATTTCTGAATTCTCTGACTTCTCACCAGGAAATGATTAAAAGTTTATTTTCAGATATTCCTTACCAGACTACGTCTCTCCAAATAGGTTATGCTTTGTAAATTTCTCTTAATAGTGGTATATATATTCTAAAAGTTATTTATTTGTTGTTCCCTAGAACAAATAATGTATGTATTATTTGTTCTAGATCTGTGGTCTCTGATGTACTATGTGATCTATGCTCTTGTGTTCTCTCTTTTGTTGTCAATATTTTTCAGGTTAGCCTTTTCTTCCTGGAAGCCAAGGCTAAAAACAAATCCCCTATTTTGTAGTACCATGATCATATTAAACTCCTACCACAAAGATCCAAAGTGATGTTATCTTCCAGTATTAAAATATAAAAATGTGTAGCACTTACATAGACCAGATGCATGTAGTTTTTACCACGTAGCAGACATAGATTTTTAATTTCTTCAGAAATAAAAACGTATGTAAGAAACCTGCACGTTGTGCACATGTACACTAGAACTTAAAGTTTAATTTAAAAAAAGAAATAAAAGCTAGTATCTTTCATAATCACCAGATATTGTAAAGTGACTTGCGTGAAGTTATGCAGCCAGTACTGGAAGAACTAGAATTTAAACCAGGGCAGACTGTCTCAAGTATCTATTCTTAGCTATAAAGCTAAGAGGGTTTTTTTTTGTTGTTTTTTTTTTGAGACGGAGTCTTGTTCTGTCGCCCAGGCTGGAGTGCAGTGGCACGATCTCAGCTCACTGCAAGCTCTGCCTCCCGGGTTCACGCCATTCTCCTGCCTCAGCCTCCCAAGTAGTTGGGACTACAGGCGCCCGCCACCACGCCTGGCTGATTTTTTTTTTTTTTTTTTTTTGTATTTACACTAGAGGCGGGGTTTCACCATGTTAGCCAGGATGATCTCAATCTCCTGACCTCGTGATCCGCCCACCTCCGCCTCCCAAAGTGCTGGGATAACAGGCGTGAGCCACCGCGCCCGGCCAAGAGTCATTTATTTGAATAGTGATAAATTCAGAAGTTTAATTTCAAGGTCAGACCAAATTTCTTTAGTACTTCTATTAAAATGGCATCCAAGAAAATAAATATTGAAATTTGAAAACAAAACATCTCTATCACTACCAAATTTTTCCCATTATGCCACCAACCAAAGCACCCCCTACCAACATATTTCTGACTATTTTCTACAAAATTGTTCCCCTGATTATCCCTTGTGGTGCTATCTTAGAAAAGCAGGTATCTTCTTAATATGAAGTAGAATAATATAGTGGATAGACTTTGGCAACTGACACATGATTGGGGTCCAAAATAGAGCCTGAATTTCCTTCAGGACCTTGAACAAATAAGAGCATTTACTGAGGTTTTGTTTCCCGCATTGAAAATTTGAGACGATAATATGTCTGTTACATGGTTGTTGTGAGCTTTAAAGGTACTGTTATTTTTATGGTACAGCATAACCATGAAATAAGTATTATTTAATTCTCTTCTTTACAAACTTTATCACGGAGTGTTCTTTAATATCTGACACCTGTTCCAATTTCACACATCACTGATCTTTGGTGGATAAAATGGGAGACCACAGTATATATTTATTAAACTACCACAGTGAAGATTAAATTAAAGGCCAGATTCTTTATTCTAGTGATTTCCAAAGTAAAGTTTCTGTAAAGCACACAACGTTTTTTGACAAGAGAAACCTCCTCTTTCATTTTCTATTTTTTAATTATTAAATTATTTTTGTTAGAAAGACCAATAATATTCAATATTTGATATTAAATTAATGAAACTAACTTATTTTTCAATAAAGCAAACATGCTTTTTCGAGTAAAATATACAACTAAAGCAAAGATTAGGCTTTATAATTTTCTTTGTATTATTCTCTTACACAACTGTTTCATCCTCTTCAAGTAAACAGTTTAGAAGTAATCTCGAAATGTCCTTCAGGACAAAAATATTTATCTTCTTTTTAGCCTCAGCGTTATGTATTAAAATTAAACTATCTACATAGGCCAAGTTAATTGAATGGATTTTAATATCAAGCAATTAAAAATGAAAATAATGTGGCCAGGAGCAGTGGTTCACGCCAGTAATCCCAGCATTTTGGGAGGCCGAGGCAGGTGGATCATGAGGTCAGGAGTTCGAGACCAGCCTGGCCAAGATGGTGAAATGCCATCTCTACTAAAAATACAAAAATCAGCCAAGTGTGGTGGCAGGTGCCTGTAATCCCAGCTACATGGGAGGCTGATGCAGGAGAATCGCTTGAACCCGGGAGGCGGAGGTTACAGTGAGCTGAGATCACGCCACTGCACTCTAGCCTGGGCGACAGAGCAAGACTCCATCTCAAAAAAAAAAAAAAAAAAAGAATGCAATGATTGTTAATCTATTCTGATTTTAGAAGAGAAAGTTAAATTGGAGCTCTCCACAAGATGAGTTCTAGGATGTTACAGAATATTGGAAAATCTAGAGAATTAGATAATCATATCCCCATCTGTTTCTCTTCTCCAAAGAACCCACAAACTTAATGTATCATCAGTGTCACACAGAATTATAAACAAAAACCTATGATGACCTCTATAGATATATAGATACTGAAAAAGTATTTGATAAAATTCCTCATACCTTCATGACAAAAACCTTCAAAAAACTAGACATCCAAGAAACACACCCAAAATAATTAAATGCATATACAACAAACCCACAACAAACATTATCCTGAACAGGGAAAACTTGAAAGCATTCCCCTTAAACCTAGAGCAAGACAAGGATGCCCAACCCTCACTTCTATACAGCATAGTATACAAAGACCTAACAAGAGCAATCAGGCAAGAGAAAAAAATAAAAGGCAGCCAAATAGGAAAAGCGGAAGTCAATTGTCTATAATCACTGATGGTATCATCTTAGACCTAGAAAACCGTAAAGACTCCTCCAAAAGATATCTATGTTTGATAAATATCATATTTATCATATTATTATTATCAAACATATTATCTATGTTTGATAAATGACGTAAACATAAGACCTGAAAATATAGAAAAATTTATTCTGAACACTGGCCTAGGCAAATAATTTATGACTATGTCTTCAAAGGCAAACACAATAAATAAAATTAGACAAAAGGGATTTAAGTAAAAATAGTCTACACAGAAAAAGAAAGAATCATCAGAGTAAACAGACAATCTACAGAACGGGAGAAAATATTTATAAACTATGCATCCAACAAAGGGCTAATATCCAGAATCTACAAGAAAATGAAACAACTCAACAAGTTAAAAAAAAAAAAAAATCCCTGCTACTACTACTCAGTAACCCTTAATATTACTCAGCCATTTTTTGAAAAATGAAATCATGTCTTTTGCAGCAACATGCTTGGAAACTGGAGGCCGTTATCCTAAGGGAAATTACTCAGAAACCAAAAGTCAAATAACGTATGGTCTCACTTATAAGCAGGAGCTAAACAATGGGTACAAATGGACATAAGAGGGGAATAATAGACATTGGAAACTCCAAATGGTGGGAAGCCGGGAGGGTAGGAACTGATAAAAAAAAAATTACTTTTTGGATACAGTGTACACTGTTTGGATCATGGGTGCACCAAAGGCCCAGATTTCACCATTACATATATCCATGTAACAAAACTACACTTGTTACCCCTAAATCTATAAAAATAAAAAAAATTTCAGCTGAGATTGGGCAGAAAGAATGGCCAATTAAGTCAACTGAGTCCCATTAGACTAGTTTCTGAAAATCAGAAGATTAAATTTTTGACAGGTCACAGAATAGTAGCTTTACTATGTCAGGGATACTGTTCTTAGTCCTGAGAACTGAAATCCTTTATAATATAAGAACTAGTGTATCTCCTGAAAGGGTGAGCTGGACGTTCACAAACTGGGCATCCATGTGTTAGTGCCAACTTTGAGTCAACTAATGGCATGACAGCTCATTCCAGCAGCCAACTGCTCTGCTGCTGTTACTAGGTAATAGATAAAGGCAATTAGCACCAAATGCTCTTTTTCATTCTTGGCCATCGTGGTTGGGAAGGAGGGAATGCATACATGTCTCTCAAAGATTTGAGAAAGTTTCTTTCAGTCTATTAGACTATTGATGAGTGGGAAGAGCACTCAGTTTCTTGTGCCATTTTATAATATCGGGCTTCCATTTTGGGCCTTTGATTGTATGGAAAATTTGCAATAATTCCACTTGATTTCCATGTTAAAATGCCCAAATCTCCACAACTTATTGAGCCACTGAATCCATCCTTGCTGATGGATAGCTCTCTTGTACAATTCTCAAAAAAAAGTCAAATCATTTTGTAGCCCAATCCCCTGCAAAAAAATTATGAATCTCATAATAATAATATTATACATTATATGTTCAATATTATATTTCCCATTATGAATATTGCATAGCATATATTACTCATTGTATGTAATATGTTATATATTTATATTATAAATATTATATATTATATATTCATACATGGAATATATACAACATAAGATATACTATTTAGTATATACAACATATATCATACTACCAATAGTTGCTACATATTACCAATATCATATCACATATGCCAGGCACTGGTATAAGCATTTTAATTCATTTAATTCCTGCAATATTCTTATGAGTTAGGAATCATTTTCCAAATCTTACAGATGAAGATTGAAGCTAGTTATGTAAATCATATCATCCTCTTTGCCTATTTTAAAGAAAGCTTACAGTTAAAATTCGAAGGTTGGCCATATCCAAAATATATAATTAAGTTACCTGTGACTCTCTCTGGCAGAAACAACCACTACCAAGATGCCAGTGTGCTTGGGTGCAACTGGGTATGGTGTTTAGCTTTCAGTTATACCCATGCACCTTAATTTTCTGCCACTTGGAGGCACTCGTGTACCATAGGAGAGAATTTTCCAGCTTTAAACTTGGCTTCTCAAAGGTTACCGCTGAAGTATAAACTACAACCTCTAACGTCTGCCCAGATCTTGCAAATCAGAATCAGTAATACTGGTAATCAGAACCTGGTGTTACTGAATTGGTGTTGCCCTTTTAGCTAGGTCATCAAGACTGGTCCAATCAAAGCATCTCACTTTCTTCAGATTAAAGGAATCCCTGCCATCTTAACCTTCCAGATGGGTGGTAGCCAGGCATCTGGAAGGAGAGCCTTAGGATATGGACCTGGCTTCAGACTGCAGAGCCTGGAGCCCAGGATGACCCTGTCTACTAGGATGAAGGAAAGAAGACTGAAAAACCAAACAATGCATCAGTTGAAAGAGTCTGTGCTTCAATGCAGAATACAAAAGAGATCTGAAACCATACACCTTCAAGGAGTTTGCAGGCCAGTAGAGAATAAAAACTGGTGAGCATGCTTTAAGGACTAAATCTGCAGAACTTTTTTCTTCAGGTCTTCCTGGCTACAAAAGGGGAGGGTACAGTTAAAGGAGCTAGTCTATCTGAAACTGAATTAGAACTATGATTAAGAATTGGTAAAGTGATTCAAGTTTTTGGCATTATTTACAGAACTACTTGTACGTATAATAGTTAAAATCAATTTTAATATGATATTCTTTAAATGGAATCATTTTTAGAATCATGTATAATTAAAATTTTATATTACACCGAGATACACTTGTTTTTTAGCAAGACATTTTCTTATTAAAATTAATGTGAAGCTCCAATGCCAAACACTAGAATAAGACTATTCTATTCCTTGCCTTGAGACCACCTGCCTGTGTGAACTTGAGTAGCCCAATTTTTCCCTTTGAACATTGTTGTGTTTTTCAAAAATATCTGATCAATGTACATAATGATCTCTAAAATCCTTGTAGCTTTAAATTCTGGGGTTTCTTAAAAAAAAGGAACCCCCTCCAAAATGCTTTTCTTAAACCACAGTAAGATTTGATTCCCTCTAAATGAAATACAAAAAGAGTATTGTTCTTAAATGTTTGATATAGTGATTTCTCTTAATTGTTTTTCCTCCTGCTGTAAGAACATGACTTAACAACTGTGATGTTTGATGAAAACTGAAGATTTTTTTTAAGTCAAAAATAAATAAATTGGAGTGCTTACTCAGAACTGCAACAGCTGTGTTTTGATGTTTACAATCACAGATGTTAGATGTTTCCAGATGGAAACACGGTTGTCAGTCTTCAATTTCCTTGAGAAAGAACTATATAATGATGGTAGTTAAAAACCAGTTTCATAGATTTTCTGTGATGCTAGTCATGAAATTCTATAGTTTGCTTGAAATATATATCTAACATAGCTTTCATTTTATTGTGCATATTTATTTCAACCATTAAAAACAATCTGTTTATTTAATTTTATTCCACATAAAATACCAACAAGGTTGTTCACAATAGTGTTTCAATTAAGGTTCCATTTTTTAAATCTTGAATATTATCTAGCTAGGTTATGGTTATGAATTATTAAAATACTTGCAAATAGAATTGTGACAATTGAGAATTTAAAAAAAGTATGTTTTTGAGTGTACCAAGCTCTGGCTAGAATGCTTTTATAAATAATAATCATATGTAATATCTGTTGTTCTTTTACTCTGTGACCATCGAGTTAAATATATATAATTCTACTTCATGTGTAAACGTTGCAATGATTTTATGAAGAAGGTACTATTATTTTATTATCCACATTTCACAAGTGAATTTGAGGTATAGAGAGGCAAAAATAACTTGCTAAACTTCATACAGCAAAACAAATGAGGTAGTCAAGATTCAAACCCAGAAATTCTTACACCGCAGCCCCAGTTTTCAATCAACATACTCTTCAATCTCCAACCATGCCATGTTTTTGCCACATGTAATCTTATTTTATAATAATCACAACCATATGAGGCAAATAATAATATTCTAATTTTTTTAAAGCAGGAACTAAAAGATTGAGATGACAATCGAGTTAAGATCAACAAAGAGTACTTCAACACTCCAACCCCGGAAGTGCTAGACATGCTCCCCAAGGACTTTAAGCCTGTGTATGGCGGAACCCCTCGGGCCCAAATCACTTCCTGTTACCACAGGAACAAGTAAACCTCCTCCCTGATACTAAGACACTGGCCAGGCGTGCTTATCTTTCCCTGACCTACTCTTATAAACCAAATTGTCAATTAAATATTAAGGTAAAATAAAGATGTTTTACACATAAAAGCTCTCAAAACATACTTATTGTGTACTCTTTTTCAGGAACCTATTGGCAGCTATGCATCAGTAAAGTGAAGAAGCACCTCAGGAAAAGGGAGCATAAGGGAAAATAAGGAGACATAAAGAAAAATGGAAAACATGAAAGAAAGAGATTGAGAGTTGTAACAATGAAAAAGGAAGATTGCACAGTGAGGCCTGAATAGAATGTGTAGGAGACAGCTACCTAGAATGGAGCATGACAGAAATCTTCACGGGACATTCCTCCAAGATCAGGAAATTTCTCAAATGCTTCAAGTGCCCGGAAATAAGAAGTTGAAAACGAAAGTTTGCTGGGAGTTCCATTGGTAAAATGTACATATTGAAAACAGTTAAAAAAATGAGACAGAGAAAAAGAGAGAGAATCAAACACACGTAACATGACAATATTTAATGCTTTTTTAAAAGGTAGAAAATTGAGTCACAGTAATTACATGCTTATCTGTATGTAACATTTACCAAATTATAATAATAAGTGCAAAATATCTAATCATATTTATAATATTACTGTATTGGAAGGATAAAAGGACAGATAAATTAACTTTGTATCTGGTGGACAGCAAAAAACAGACATCTATTATCTTCCAAAGTAGCAAGTCAATGCATATATAATGTCAAAATTCAAAAAGTAAAAAAGTAACAATGCAAGCTGTTATTTTGAGAAAATGCCAAAATATTCAGCCGAAAAGCTATAAAGGTACTATGTCAATGAAAGGGAAATGGGAGATTGTCTATTTTTTTAAATAAATTTTGGAGAATAACTTTATTTTTTAAACTCTTGAGATAATTCACTGCGATAGAACTCAAACAAAAACAAAAGATAATAAATTGTTGTCTGCATGCTGTAATTACAGCTTTCTTTTATAATGTTTGAGAAAGAAAAATAAAACTTTTGATAGGTTTCAACTTATACCTTTTAATATTTTTCTTAACTTTTAATTTTTGTGGATATAAAGTAGTTGTACATGTTTAATTGGTACATGAGATATTTTGACACCGACATGCAAAGCGTAATAATCACATTACGGAAAATGGGGTATCCATCCCCTCAAGCATTTATCCTTTGTGTAAAAAATAATCCAATTTTACTCCTTCAGTTATTTTAAAATGTACAATTAAATTATTTTCACTATAGTCATCTTGTTGTGCTATTAAATACTAAGCATTGTTCATTTTTTCTATTTTTTGTACCCATTCACTATCCCCACCACCCCAACAACCCCCCAACTACCTTCCCCAGCCTCTGGTAACTGTATTTCTACTCTCCACCACCTTAACATAATGACCTATTCACTTAACATATTGCCCTCCAGTTCCAATTATGTTGTTGCAAATGGCAGGATTTCACTCTTTCATATGGCTGAATACCCTATTCTGTGATATTACTATAAGGCTTGCAAATACTATCTTATAGCTCATTATTTTAAACTAATGACAACACTGCTTGCATACACAAATGAACAAACACACAGAAGTAAAACTAATAAAAACTATACACTTTAACTTCATCCTCTTGTTTTTATGACTTTTAGTTATTTCTCCTGTCTTATTGTACTGTGTCTTAAAAAGTTGTACTTATATTTTTTATTGGTTCATTATTTAGTCTTTCTACTTCAGACGAGAGTGGTTTACACACCACAATTACAGTCTTATAATATTCTATCTTATAATATTCTATGTTTTTCTGTGTACTTTCTGTTACCAGTAAGTTTTGTGCCTTCAGATGATTTCTTATTGGTCATTGATATCCTTTTTTTTTTTTTTTTTTTTCAGATTGAATAGTTCCTTTTAGCATTTCTTATAGGACAGATCTGGTGTTGATGAAATCCCTCAGCTTTTGTTTGTCTGTGAAAGTCTAAAGGAAAATATCCTTCAAGCATGAAATATCCTTCATTCTTGAAGCATATTTTTGCCAGATATACTATTCAAGAGTGATTTTTTTTTCTTCAGCATTTTAATATGTCATGCCACTTCTCCTGGTCTGTAAGTTTCCCATTGAAAAGTTTGTCGCCAGATGTATTGGAGTTCCACTGTGTGTTATTTGTTTGTTTTCTCTTGTTGCTTTTAGGATCCTTGACTTTTGAGAATTTTATTATTAGATGCCTTGAGGTAGTCTTCTTTGGGTTAAATCTGCGTGGTGTTCTATAACCTTCTTATACTTGAATGTATATCTTTATCTAGGTTTGGGGTGTTCTACCTCTTTTTCTCTACCTCCACTTTAAGGCCAATAACTTAGATATTCCTTTTTGAGGCTATTTTCTAGATTTTGTAGGCACGCTTCATTTTTTTTTTTTTTGTCGTCTCTGACTGTGTGTTTTCAAATAGCATCTCTTTGAGTTCACTAATTCTTTTCTCTGCTTGATCAATTCTGCTGTTGAGAGAGTCTCATGCATTCTTTGGTATGTCAATCACATTTTTCAGCTCTAGAATTTCTGCTTAATTCTTTTTAGTTACTTCAATCTATTTGTTAAAGTTACCTGATAGATTGTGAATCCCTTCTCTGTGTTATTTTGAATTTCTTTGCATTTCCTCAAAACAGCTATTTTGAATTCTCTCCCTGAAAGATCGCATATCTCTGCTTCTCGAGAATTGGTCCCCAGTGCCTTGTTCAGTTCTTTGGGAGAGGTCATGCTTTCCTGGATGATCTTGATGTTTGCAGGTGTTCATTGGTATCTGCGTATTTAAGAGTTAGGTATTTACTGTAGCCTTCACAGTCTGGGCTTATTTGTGCTCATCCTTCCTGCAAAGACTTTTCAGGTATTTGAAAGAACATAAGTCCCAAGCCCAATATTGTTTTGTTTATTTGTTTGTTTGTTTTTGAGATGGAGTCTCACTCTGTCGCCCAGGCTGGAGTGCAGTGGCACGATCTCGGCTCACTACAAGCTCCACCTCCCAGGTTCTCACCATTCTCCTGCCTCAGCCTCCTGAGTAACTGGGACTACAGGTGCCTGCCACCACACCCAGCTCATTTTTTGTATTTTTAGTAGAGACGGGGTTTCACCGTGTTAGCCAGGATGGTCTCGATCTCCTGACCTCGTTATCTGCCTGCCTCAGCCTCCCAAAGTGCTGGGATGTTGTGGTTTTTACAGACTTGGAGAGGTACCAACTTGATCATGGATAAGATCTGGAAGAATTCTCTGGATTACCAGGCAGTGACTCTTGTTCTTTTCCCTTACTTTCTCCCAAACAAATGGAGTCTCTCTCTCTCTCTATTGCTCTCTCTCTCTCTCTCTCTCTCTCTCTCTCTCTCTCTGTGTGTGTGTGTGTGTGTGTGTGTGTGTGTGCTGAGCCACCTGGAACTGGGGCTGGGGTGACACAAGCACCCTTGTGTTCATCACCACTAGGACTGTGCTGATTCAGACCTGAAGCCAGCACAACACTGTGTCTCACCCAAGGCCTTTTATAACCACTACCTGGCTACCTCCTATGCTCACTCAAGGTCCTAGGGCTCTGCAATCAGCAGGTGGTAAATCTATCTAGGTCCCTTCTTTCAGAACAGCAAGTCCTTTCAGGCCCTCATGGGTCCAGAGATGCTATTTGGGAGCCAGGATTTAAGTCAAAAACCTAACAAATTTGCCTGATGTTCTATTCTATTGAGGCTAAGCTGGTACTCATACCACAATACGAAGTCCTTCCTGCTCTTCCCTCCCCATTCCACAGGCAGAGGAGCCTCTCTTCATGGCCTCCTTCATCATTGGCCCACAGGGGTTTTCTGCCAGGCCACCTTTGATGTCCACTTAAAGCCCAAGCTCTCTTAAGTCAGTTTGTGCTGAAAGCCCCCTGGCCTGGGACTCGCCCTTCAGGGTAGAAGGCTCCCCTCTGGCCCAGGGCAGGTCCAAAAATGCCATCCAAGAATCGAGTCCTAGAATCAGGGACCCCCTAGACCTGGCTTGGTGCTCTGCCCACCTATGGTCAGGCTGGTACTTAAGTGCAAAACAAAGTCCCCTTTGCTTTTCCTTCTGCTTTTCTCAAGCAGAAGGAGTTTTACCCCATAACCACTACATCTCGTAATCTGCTGAGTCTCACCTGAAGCTAACAAGTCTCAGAGGATCAGCCAAGATCCTTGATGACCTGGGTATCACAGTTGGTTATCCATGGCCCAAGGGCTCTTTAGTAAGCAGATAATCAATGCTGCCAAGGCTGTGTTCTCCCCTTCATGGCAGCAGGTTCCCTTCTGGCAAACAGTGTGTCTAAAAACGTTATCCAGGAGCTAGGGCCTGGAATAAGGGGGCCTCATGACTCTGCTCAGTGCCCTATTATACTGTGGCTGAGATGGTATCCAAGGTATAAGACAAAGTGTTCTTTATTCTTTGCTCTCCTCCCACTAAGCAGAATGAAGCAGTCACTTTTGTTGCTGTGAACTGCACTGCCTAGGGTTGGGGGAGGGGTAGCACAAGCACTCCCTTAGCCACTCTGGCTGATGTTTCCCTAGATCACATGCTACTCTGGTCCTCTGGCTCTGAGCCTAGCCCAGCACGAGGAGTTGCCTAGGAATTGCAGTCCTTCTGTTCTAAACTTCATTGAAAGTTTACCTAGGACACCACAGCACTTTGGCCCATGGTGGCGAGTCTTGCTGAGAAACTCAAGTTCTACCCGCTGTGATCAGCAATTCCCCTTTGGCTAGGACTGGTCCAAATGGCCCCCCTGTCTGTGGGCACTGGCTGAGCACAACACGGATTTTCTCCCCACTACAACAGAGCTATACTGAGTTTAATGTAAAGTCCCCCCGTCCTTGCATTCTCCATTCCCCAGTACACAGACTCTCTGTACTGCCCGGCTGATGCTGGGGGATGTGGATGGGGTGGCATCAAAGATTCAAGCCTGTTTCTCCTGCCCTCCTCAATACCTCTTTCGGCAATATGAAATTAAAACCATGTACTGTGATTACTCACCTGTCTTGTGGTTCTTGTGGCAGTACTTTTCTGTATGCAGATAGTTGTTAAAATTTGCTGTTCCTTAGGGGGCATGAAGGGTGTAGGCTTAATTTCTGCCACCTTCTTCCCTGCTTCCCTCATTTCCCTTTTGATTTTTGATGGTGATATTTCTTAAGCATTCACTCATATGACTACTGATTTATATTTGTGGGTGTATGTGAGTGTACTGTAAATCATATTTATTTTTACTCCAGATTCATTATCTTCAAATAATAGTAAATTTCACTGAGAGCAATAGCATGATCTCACTTTTTCCTGCAGGAAATTAGTGAAAGAATAAATGAAACTACACTCTGTTGTGGTAGGCAGGATTCTACAATAGTTCTCAGGATTCCCAGCATCTAATGTATCACACATCTTGTCCAGTTAATCATCAAATGTTTATCTGGGTGCTGCAGTGATGGCAGTTTGCAAATATAACTAAAGCCTCAAATCATTTGATTTTAAGATAGGGAGATTATCCTCACTGGGCTTGATTGGATCAGGTGAGCCCTTAAAAGAGAGAAGCCTCTTCCTGGTGAAAACGATTCTTCAAAGCCTTAATGATATTTGATGCAAAGCAGATTGTCTTCTGCTGGCTTAAAGATAGAAGGCAAGAAATGCTGATGGCGTCTATGAGCTCACAGAGGCCCCTGATGGTAGCCAGCAAGGAAATGAGGACCTCAGTTCTATAATTATAGACCGTGAATCCTGCCACAATCATCTGAGCTTCGAAGAAGAAACTAATCTTGATGAGAATACAGCCCTGGCAGGTCAACGCCTTGATTTAAGCCTTGTGAGTTGCTGAGCAGAGAAACCAGTGGCTGGATGTCTAACCCACAAAACTGTGAGAAAATAGAGGGGTGTTGTTTTAAGCCACTACATAGGTGGTAATTTGTTATACAGCAAATTAACAACTGAAAAACTCAAAAGTGTGTTGATATTTTTTGGAAAGACTATTTTCTTAAAATAAATATTAAGGAAATATATAATTTTGAGATCATAAGCCTTTATATACATAGATTATGTTTGAAGCCCTAATCTAGAAACTTTGTGAATAATTATATAGTGCACAACTTCATACTAGTGACTAGAAGACAAACTGTTAAGTAGAACAATTACAGTAACAGAGAGAACTGGTAATCTGGAACAGATGTGTTCATTGAGTTATTTATTGCTTTGAGAGTGCCAATGAAAGGCTCTGAGGCTGCTAATAAAAATAAACAAACATCAAACTAACTAAGGCCACGACGTAAGATTAAATCCCTGGGCTTTATTCAATGCTCAGACATAGAGAATGTGAAAATAGTCTTAGTAGGACTTCCTGATGGCGTTTGTTGCTTTTCGATTGCGTAAGAATATAAGGAAGGCTTGAGAAGATATTTTTAATCCTTGATACTTCTAATGTTAATTTCTGCAAAGTTTATGTCTGTTACAGATGTGATAAAAGACATTGGCTGTGAGGATCCTAAACTTGGGCATAATGTACAATTAAGAAACCCAATATTGGGCAATAAATGAGGAACTCTTTTAACCTAGTTTGGCTATTATGAAGTATCAAAAGCTGAGAATGTTCTAGAGAAAGCTTAGATATCCAACATTTGGAGTTAAACTGTATTCTCAAAGCAAATGAGTTTTTAGTAACAATGGACAAATGTTTCAGGATACTTGAACGCGGGGAACCTGGTGAACTCACAGTCTAGGTGAATTGCCTTTCTTCCAATTGTGCCAGGTGCAGTCTGACAGCCCTTAGTGGTAGCTCTTCGTGTAGGAGTGTCAGGATAAAATAGATCTTTGTGCTCGCCCTGATCACTAATAAAAGTATAGGAGAAAAGTAATTCCCTTAAGAATTGAAGTGTAAGACCCTGTAACAGAAGATGTAATAAAAGAGAAGAGTAGTTTAAAGAAGAGTCAATATTAAGAGCAGTACTCCTAAAAGGCACACTTTATTAAAAACACCAGTTACCAGACCAAAGACAGCCTTTACACTACTTGTATTACAGAAAGTAAAAGGTGAAAGAAGAGAAGCCAAGCTAAAGAAGATAAGCTAAGTATATGGAATCTTCAGTTCTGCAGAGGTTTCTGCAAATATGAGGCCAGAGATTGTTTTTTCTTCCATACACACTTTGTGTATGTGTGTGTGTGTGCACCTGCGTAGTTTGACTAACATTGCCTCCATTTCTTAACTTGTTAAAAATATCTACTTCCCGACGTCAGGAGATAACATGACTCACACCAGAACACCTGATTCATTCTCTAAGATTTTACTAATTACAGCTAGTGTGGAGGTGTCATCTTCGTGAAAGTATTCACGTCAAATCCAGAACTACCATCAACATGTCTCTCAGGCAGAGATGCCTGCTGCATAGGAATGCAATGAAGTTATCCTAGAAAGAAAATTGTAAAAGACTGATATAGAAAGAATCCTGAAGACATTTAATTTCCTGGTTCCACTCAACCTTAGTTTCACCCTTGCACTTCCTGGATACATGGACCAATAAATCTCATTTTGAACTTGAAGTAGTTTGCATTGACTTTCTGTCACGTATCACCAAAGAATACTGACTACTAGAGAGGATTTAATACAGCAATTGGTAGCTGTGACCATGGCTCTGCAGACTTGCAAGTAAAATACAAAATGTGTTTGTTTTTGGTGGTAGATCAGGGGAAGGGACTTTTAGCCAAATCCAAGGCACAGAAAGCTGAGAAAACTATAGGTGATCTAGAGAATCAAAAAGTATATCTGACTATTAATCTACTGTCGATTTTTTACAACATGTGAAAATATTGAGGCTCAAAATAAAACCAAGCTTCTTGTGGTTGCAGAATATCACGGAAAGCTTGGGAAAAGAAAAACGTGGAGGGGTCTGGTGCTCATAAGAGTAAATTTATGTCAGGTGAATGTTCCATCCTGTAGGCCACATGGTTTTGTGAAGCGCATGGCAATGCTATGTGTGTAGGGGTGCAGATGCCGGCTGGAGAGCAGAGGTCAAATAGCTGCACTTGGAAACTCATTTTATGGCTCCTCTTTATGCTATCTTCTATTATAGTAAGTGTGTAAATTGGTATTATACATTTTGAGAAGTAGAGAACTTGAGAAGTGCCCTTATTACATGATACTTGTAAATATAGAATGGTGTAAAAGAGTATTAGAAATATGAAAATATGGATATAAGGGCACTGAAACAAGTCCTGGGCCAGAACTGGGACCTGAACCCAGACCCAAGCAGAATAAAATAGATGACCATACCCACAGAACCAACTCTGATATATTTAAATTATTCTCCCAAACAAGTAGGCATGAAAGTGGGGGCATATTAGCTTAATGTTCTTTAAATACTTCTCCTTTCTGCTGGAGTTAAAAAAGTAAAGGGACAGAGTACCTATACTACACAGCCCAGTAATTGTTCTAATCCAGTTGAATCCAATAAAAGTTAGAAAGACAACAGTTCCAGAAGCCTCTCCAAAGCATAAGGGGCCTAAAGTGTTCTAAAGGGAGGATGAGCAATTCTGAAAATATCCACTATTCCCTAGAGTCAAAAAATACTTTTGTGTTTTTTTAAGATCAGGGCTTATTGTAGTATATTTATGAAAATCTACTGCAGGGTTAGAAAGCCTCAAAATGAACACTTCTGAATATTTATTTAAGAGGAATTTCAGATTGAGAGAATGAAGGGAATACAGCATTCTGAGAGTTAATGGCTGAGAAGTTTTCAGAACTGAACAAATTCATGACTGCTTATACACATAGGATCCTGAGCAGGAACGTTGAGCAATAGCTAATGCAAGAACAATAGAAGTGCCACAGAGTAAAGCTATGAACACAGTATACTATGGATTATGAAGTTATAGTAAATATAAATACAATATATAGAGCCATGTAGGTAGGCTCATGCATCTGGATAATGCTACCCTCCCAAAATCTATCCACACACCAATTTCTCAAATTCTTCTATTATCTTAGCTCAAATTATCAACTCTCTTCTATTTTTCTGCAACTGGTCTCTATGCCTACATTCCTGTTAACCATAAGCCTGTTTCCTATTCTACAACAAGAGTGATCTAGCTATTATACAAACATAATGGAACTCGCTTCTGTGATTCTACATTTGCTGGGATAAAACAGTGTTCACACAGCATACTAGAGCCTCCATCCCTGTCCACACTCATGTCCCTATTTATAGTATTTATACTTTAGATGTACTTAAGTACTATCGTTTCTTGCTGTCTAGACCACATGATCTCTTGCCTCTTACCCTTTTCAAATACTCTTGGCTGTGCCAGAGATGGGCACATACAGCATTCCCCCTCCCCTTCCCCCACAGACACACACACACACACACACACACACACACACTGAGAGCTGACTCTGCTCAGATATACCAAGAGGCTCATGGCAGAGTTGGCATGTGCTCTCCCATTGTTCTGATACTACCATGTGAATACACCTTTCATAACATTTATGGAAATCATAGAAGTGCCTGTTCCCCTGTTTAACTCTCTACTCTGAAGGCCTTTTGGGATATTGAGTCTTATATATTATTATTTCCTTTAATATTTTGAGTGGTTATCACATTCTACTACATGCTCAAGTATCATTGATTGCATGAGTTAACAAATAAATATACTTACTATATGTTTAAGCACCGACATCTACACCACACCTTAATGTATTCTGCAGGCATCATTAAAAGTTTAATCCAAATGATGTGAGAAAAACTCAGATATTGAAGCTTTTCTATTTTTCTGTTGCTGCTTTTACAGATAAAATATTAAATATGAGCAAATTACTTCACATTTTTGAGCCTCAGTTTATTGATATTCAAAATGCCTATGCTCACAAATATCTCACTCCTTTTTAGAATTAAATATGAAACATATGTGACAGTTACTATCATTCTGGCTGCCAAATTGTAAGGTGCAAATGAATATCATCCTTCGTTTTTGTTTCAGATGTATAGATTCTTCATATCTCTCTCATCTCTATGAAGAAATGTAATGAAGTAATATGGTAGGATATTTCTGCCGTAGCCTATAGCAGTAGGTCAGTCTTACATACCTTTAAAATTTGGCCTTTACAATACTTTTGTCCATATTTTATATTGGTTTCAATGGACTATAAACATCATAACTATTTAGCATAGAAATCCATTAGTCTTCTCTAAAGAAAAAATGAGTGGGTTGTTCTACTCTCCTGAAGAAAACAAAGTAATATAGATTGTTAATTCTGGAGCCCCTTTAGACTACTGAGTGTCTATGAATGAGGTAGGCAAATTACATAAAATTACATTTCTTTAGACATACTGAGTGCATCCTATGCCTGTCATATGTTTTTGCTTTCTGCTTATTTCCCTTGCATTTGCTTATTGCTCTTAAAAATGGATTCTGGGAGTTTTGAGGAACTAGACAAAGTTTAATAAAATAATAATAAATTAACTACAATATGTAGAATGCAATTAATTTCTTGTGGATTATTAGGGTGGTGACTGATACATGACAGCTTTCAAGACACACCTGACAATTTCATCCTCTATGTGTACTAGACCTTTTAATACTTTTAAAGGATACATTTTAAGGAAAAAAGTACCATCTTTCATACTAGTAAATAAATTAATTACAAATGTACCCATCAGTCTTCATTTTTAGCAGTATGTAATTTGACTAAATTCAAGCATTCTGTGCAAGAAATAGGGAGGCTTTTGTTTTTAAATGAAGGTGACCTGCCTGTTACATTTCTTTTTTTTTAATTTATTTCTTCTAAAAAAAAAAAAAAAAGAGATACACGTGCAAAACGTGCAGGTTTGTTACATAGGTATACGTGTGCCATGGTGGTTTGCCGCACCTATTGACCTGTCCTCTAAGTTCCCGCCCCTCATCCCACACCCTACCAGGCCCTGGAGTGTGTTGTTCCCCTCTCTGTGACCATGTGTTCTAAATGTTCACCTCCCACTTATAAGTGAGAACATGTGGTGTTTGGTTTTCTGTTCCTGTGTTTGTCTGCTGAGAATGATGGCCTCCAGCTTCTTCCATGTCCCTGTAAAGAATATAATCTCATTCGTTTTTATGGCTGCATAGCATTCCATGGTGTATATATACCACATTTTCTTTATCCTGTCTATCATTGATTGGCATTTGGGTTCATTCCATGTCTTTGCTATTGTAAACCGTGCTGCAATAAACATATGTGTGAATGTGTCTTTACCATAGAATAATTTATATTCCTTTAGGTATATACCCAGTAATGGGATTGCTGGGTCAAATGGTATTTCTGGCTGCGGAAATGTCTTTTTTTGAGAAATGTCTGTCCAGGTCCTTTGTTCTTACCACTCCTATTCAACATAGTATTGGAAGTTCTGGCCAGGGCAATCAGACAAGAGAAAATAATAAGGGGTATTTCTGGTTTTAGATCCTTGACGAATCGCCATACTCTCTTCCACAATGGTTGAACTAATTTACAGTCCCACCAACAGTGTAAAAGCGTTCCTACTTCTCCATAGCCTCACCAACATCTATTGTTTGCTGACTTTTTAATAATCAGCATTCTGATTGGCATGAGATGATATCTCATTGTGGTTTTGATTTGCATTTCTCTGATGATCAGTGATACTGAGCTTTTTTCATATGTTTGTTGGCTGCAGAAATGTCTTTTTTTGAGAAGTGTCTGTCCATATCCTTTGTTCTCACCACTCCTACTCAACATAGTATTGGAGGTTCTGTCCAGGGCAATCAGACAAGAGAAAAAAATAAAGGGTATTGATATGAGAAGAGAGGAAGTCAATTTGTCTCTGTTAGCAGATGACATGGTCTTAGATTTAGAAAACCCCATCCTCTCAGCCCCAAAACTTCTTGAACTGATAAGCAACTTCAGCAAAGGCTCAGGATACAAAATCAATGTGCAAAAATCACAAGCATTCCTTTACATGAACAATAGGCAAGCAGAGAGCCAAATCATAAATGAACTCCAATTCACAATCACTACAAAGAGAATAAAATACCTAGGAATACAGTTAACAAGGGATGTGAAGGACCTCTTCAAGGAGAACTACAAACCACTGCTCATGGAAAAAAGAGAGGACACAAACAAATGGAAAACATTCCATCCTTATGGATAGGAAGAATCAATATTGTGAAAATGGCCATACTGCCCAAAGTAATTTATAGATCCAATGTTATTCCCATCAAACTACCATTGACATTCTTCACAGAAATAAAAAAAAAAGTATTTTAAATTTCATATGAAATCAAAGAAGACTCTGTATAGCCAAAACAGTCCTAAGCAATAAGAACAAAGCTGGAGGCATCACACTACCTGACTTTGAATTACACTACAAGGCTACAGTAACCAAAACAGCATGGAACCGGTATCAAAACAGACATATAGACCAATGGAGCAGAGCAGAGACCTCAGAAATAACACAAAACATCTACAACCATCTGATCTTCAACTATCCTGACAAAAACAAGCAATGGGGAAAGGATCTCCTATTTAGTAAATGGTACTGGGAAAACTGGCTAGCCATATGCAGAAAACTGAAACTGTACCCCTTCCTTACACCTTACACAAAAATCAACTTAAGATGGATTAAAGACTTAATGTAAAACCCAAAACCATAAAAACTGTAAAAGAAAACCTAAGCCATACCATTCAGTACATAGGCATGAGCAAAGACTTCATGACAAAAATGCCAAAAGCAATTGCAACAAAAGCCAAAATTGACAAATGGAATCTAATTAAACTAAAGATCTTGTGCACAGCGAAAGAAACTATCGTTGGAGTGAATAGACAACCTACAGAATGGGAGAAAAGTTTTGCAATCTACCCATCTGACAAAGGTTTAATATCCAGAATCTACAAGGAACTTAAACAAATTTACAAGAAAAATGAAACAACCCCATGAAAAAGTGCCTGTTACCTTTCAAATGATTCTTAGGTGGCAGCTTACTCACAAGAAAAGCCATGCCTGCAGCAGGTGTCGCACTATGTGATAAAGTGTCATGTCATGAAGATGAAAGATGAAGGCGACTAAGCATTTTGGATAATGATTCAAAAAAATCTGAAGAAACTCCGATAATCCCAAAGCACGAATACTTCTGAAAATAGTTTCAAAAATGTATGAAACTGTTGCTTCTGTATAATTTCAACACCTTTTGAAGTGACACAATCAAAGTGCACCATTCTCCCAGATTAAACATATTTTATTGATTTTTATCTTCAATGGAATGAATGCTATTGAGGTTTCATTTGTACGAGTTTGAAATACCTGGTTTAAAGTTACATTTTGGCACTGTGAACTTCTCCCAAGTGTACATTGATCAAGTTTTTTTCTTCCTTTTGATTTGCTGTTTTATCAAAGGAGCAGTCTGTTCTTTTGGTACTGCCAAAAATGTAGACTTTCTTTGCATGCAACGTTGATCATGAAAAGTTGAATTTAGTTAAACAAATTAAATTACACAAAAATTTGAGTAAATAACATCTGACTATAATAACTGGATGAAGTCTGTAGTATTAGGAGCAAGGAAATGATAGCCATCTGACTTGAGTTCTAGTTCACGTTTGGCTGCGTATCAGTCATATTTATTCTGAGTAAGTTCCTAAACTCTTCTAAAATGCTACTTTCCCATATGTCAAATTGAATAATCTGATCGTAACTCAACTATACATGAATAACAAAAAGTAACAAAGATAATATTGTTCTTAAAGTTTTGTTACAATAATTATAGTTTAAGTCCTTCGCCATTTCTCTTTTCTCTTTTGTCTAAAACTGCTTTAAATTTTAAAATATGACCTTCTAATCACTATGTTTAAATTTAAAGGTATTTATTATAACTGAACACATATTTTACATATTTTATTCTAATTTTGCCTTCTAATATTGCTCTACATATTTTCTTTCTTTAGTCCTTCCTTCCCTCCTTCCTCCCTCCTTCCCTCCCTCCCTCCCTTCCTTCCTTCATTCCTTCCTTCTTTCCTTCCTTCCTTCCCTCTTTCTGCTTTTAAAATTTTGAGTAGGTATATAAGTTATCATTTTTAGAATTTACATATATAAGAGTGTGTAGCCAAACATGTTAAGGTAGTGGTACTGTTGAATCCTACACACAAAAAAAGATCAGTTCCAGGATACAGGTAACTCCAGAGATTACTGCAATGATGCCAACATATGGAAAGAAGAAAAGAATCAGTGCATACAGCCGTGTCCTTGACTTCAGACACTAACTGAGGCCTCACAGTGTTGGCCAAGACATCAGAAGTCATCATTTTAACTCCTCAAATATCTCTGTATATCCAATGTGTAAGTAATGTGCCAGGAGATACACTGATAATCAAACAGATGTACTTTCTTCAATTACAGTGTTCATGGCTTTGCATATATCTCTATAGCATGAACTGTGTTATAATTGCTATTACTATTCCAAAAATTGGCTTTCTGTAGCAGATCATAAACTGCATACATGTCCATGCTTTTTGTATCAGTTTACTTTAAAGAAGTGTGCCTCTCACAATTGCTTGTATATAATATACACTCAAAGAAAATACATATGTTTTTAGTTAAAAATCTCTTGGCTCTAATTTATTGAGTGTAATGTCATCAAGAGTTGTTGTCTACTTCAGAATCTGTCCTCATTACATTTGCTAGTTCTCTGAATATTTTTTAACTTACACCTTATCTTCAGCATGTTTCTAATTAAGTTCTAAATCTGCTCCTTTTTTTACCCTTATTGAAAACTGTATCTCAAATCCATGCAGATGGCTTTGACTGCCAACACATAAGCAAAGCACCCACACCATGAGAAGTGTTCTGATCAGAGATTTTACCTGTCTCAGAGGCTTGGAAGAACCTGAAGCTGTTCACTGATGTTCTCCAAGACTACGTGTTTTGTTTTTTTTTTTTCCATCGAAAGGACTTACAAGTACTCAGACCCTTTGTGAGACAGCCCCTGTTCCTCACCAGAATGAGAGTTTGGAGAAAATGACTAATGACCCATCTCTCATATTAGGGTTATTTTATCCCATTAAGTAAATCCCTGCTTAAAGAGACTATTTGTCACAATGACATAATTTAATCACTTATATATGGTGAGGAGAAAAACTAGGAATTAGAGCAAGTGCTGAGAACATGAATCAATTTTTTCTCCATCTAGATGTAAATGTACTTTAAAGTATTCCTGTCTTCTCACCTAACTACTGTACTTACTGATAAACCATTTTCAGTCATTTGTGTCCATTAGCTAAAGCAATTCATTATATTAAAATTTTCACAATTATAAAATAATACTTTTTATATTTTTATTGAATTATTTTAAAATAATGCTAAATAAATTAAGTTACTATAATGAAATTATTAAATTAAAAAATGTAAAAGAAAACAATTTTATTCATAAATTATCCAAATGTTAATTCAATTTTATTCATGCTTAACAAGTTTGAATTGTTAATGACTGAAATAAATGTATGTGATAACTTAGTGTCTATATTTCTAATTAATTGGATAAATTAAATGGAGAGCTAGCATTTTGATTTTGGTTGTTAAAGTACCCATGTAGTCCTAAAGGATGTCATGAAGGATTCAACAGCAAATCTTAAGAGAGTGAAAGTAAATGATCTATGGAAAATAGCAGGAAATGTTCTTTGCAAGTAACTATTCGTAAACTAAGTACATAAACAGATTCAATACAAAAGTTTCAAGAACTAGAGTTAGAGTTTCAAGAATAAAGAAGAAAATAGTATCTAACATGGAGTATAATATTAATAATGCCCATGTTTAAATAAATGAGTCAATTATTGAGTAAATGTGGTCTTTCTCCTGGTTATTATCACGAAAGTATTATATTAACTAATGGTCTAGGTTTGCAACTAGGGATTTATTTCTGAAGTCCTTCCTATGGTGAAACACCAAGTCTTTTTTTTTTTTCTTTCTTTCTTTCCCCTGAGAATAAAACTTTTAATGTTTCCGTGAGGTGTTATCTTTAAATATTTACATGAATAATATTATAAAATGAATTATTTTTACTCAATTTGGATAATGGAATTCCAGTGAAAACAGAGAAAGGAAATAACATATTGCCTTAAAATAAACATCTGTGATAGCAGCATCACAAAAAGAAGAATCAATGTAAATTTTAATATAGAACCCACTTTTCAGGGGGAGCCTTCTCTTCTACTAAGACTAGGTCCTATATTCCTGATATATATTTTCCAAGTATCTTGTACTTGTCCTTTGTAGAATTTATTGCAATTACAATAAATTGTATAATTATCTCTTTAATGTTTATCTTTCACAGGAAACTATTGGCTAGTTTCCTGTGAAAAGTCAGGGATCAGATTTCTTTCATTCATTGCTCTATTCCTGGCACCTAGCCTTGTGCCTATACATAAGCAAACAGCCATATATGCAGACTTAAAAGGGCTATGTGACTTACCCAATATTACACAGTTAATAATTATCAAGGGTGAAACCTTTCTAATTCTTTTTTCTTTTCATTACTTCATGATGATAAAACTTTTTAAATGAACTCTACAGTAAAAAAAAAAAAAAGTTGTGTGTGTGTATGTATGTATGTGTGTGTATATGTGTGTGTGTGTGTGTGTGTGTGTGTGTGTGTGTGTGTGTCCAGTAAAGAAACTCCCTCCAATTCTCCAAGAGTTCCATCTTTAACAGAGGATGAGGAAGATAAGTTTGTTCAGACCGATTGGTCTATGGCCTCATTGACATACCAATACATTCATTTTACAATGTAGACATTTATCTTTTCTTCCATTGAACTCTCACAAAACCATGCTTACACTGTGAAACAAATAAATAAATGTGACAGCTCTTTAGAATCAACCAGGTAAACATTCATGAAAAGAAAATCACAGCACTATGTGAAGAACACAGTGATTGTAATTATCTTAAAGGCAAGTCTCTATAAAGCAAGTTAAAAAGTGCTTGCCTCTATCTAGTCAAGTAAAAAATTATATAGGTAAACTTACATAGACATAAAGTTAAGCAGATTTTTTTCCGGAATTGAAATGTCAGGTTCTTTATAAAATGCACTAAATGACAAATTGAAATAGTAATAATACTAGTATTGATATGGCATTATTTCTTCAAAATGTAGATACTGCTACCAAAGACATCAGGGCCATGATGATGAGAAATATGGGAAATGCTACAAAAATTCATTAGTTTGAAAACAACCTTTTGAACTTCAGACTTACATTCAAAAAATTGCCACCCCAACATATTTTTATTAAAAAGAAAACTATATATGAGGCAATATAGATAGTAAACATAATTTTTAAAAAAATACATTTTATATGGCATATATAATTATAATGTGCAACAAATAGCGATTTTTAGAAATTAAACTGTGAATAAAATGGCTAGGTAACTTGCTCAATGTCACACAGTTAATAAATATCAAGGGTGAAACCATCCTAACACTGTTTCATTTTCCCGTTATTATATGATGATAGAACTTTTCAAATGAACTTTCTAGAGTAAAAAAAAATATGCGGTCATGGCACATGTATACATATGTAACTAACCTGCACAATGTGCACATGTTCCCTAAAACTTAGAGTATAATAAAAAAAAAAAAAAATAGAAACATTAACATTGCAGGGAAACCTATATATACTTGAAACCATATTCATTTACTTCATGCACTCAACCCATAAAAATTGCATGTCCACTGTGGGACTATTCTCTGTGTGACCTTGGACCAAACCAGTTCTTCCCCAATTCTCATTTGTAGGTCTCAGAAATAATTGTGCCATGTGGTGGGAATGCAACCTCCTGAGATAAAGAGAGACTGACTTAAACAGCCTGGGCTTTGTGCCAGTCCCACCTAGAAAGAGGATACCATTCAATGCTATAGCCCAATGATCCCTGTTATTCTCAGGGTATAAAATCCTAGGGCAGGCTGCTTTTGGGAATCCCTCAGCTGCAGTGCAAGGGACGGATACACAGAGATGAGATTCCATGTTCCCTATGCAGCTTACCTGAGCCCTGGAGGACCAACGTGTCATGAATCCCAGGTTTCTGTTGTCCTTTATTGCCTATCTGTGAGTAATACACCCACTTCGTGTAACTTGCTGTGTGTGTGAGTGTTCTGTCTCACTGGACTCGGGCAAGTAGTCATAGTTAACCTGCTTTGTACCTACCATGTCCCAGATCTCCTGGATATAGACAGAAATCTCTGATCTTACCAGAGCTTACAGTTTAGTATTCCAAATAAAGTTGCATTTGCTCTGAGAGATCACCTGAATCAGTTTTAAACAGCAAACAACTTTAGAATCATAACCTATAAGGCACAATTGAATTTTAACAAATTAGACATGTTTCTCCATGGTAAATACATTTCCAATCACATTTTTGCCATATGTAATAACATGCAGAAAACCAGTATTTGATATTTAGGATATTCTATTTGCTGTTCTGTATTAAATGACAAAAGCCTTCACAATTATCTTTGCAGAAATGCATTATGAAATAGATATTTGTCAGGTACAATTTTCATTTCTATTACTCTCATTTTTTGTTCTGATCCTTTTTCTGAATAGATATAAAGGTTGGGTATAACTTATCTGAAGTGTTTGAGAACAAAAATGTTTCTGTTTAAGAATTTTTTTGGATTTTGGAATATTTGCATGTACATAATGAGATATTTTGGGGACAGAACCCAAGGCTAAGCATGAAATTTATGTTTCATATGTACATTTTACACATAGCCTGAAGATAATTTAATATAATATTTCAAATAATGTTGTACATAAAACAATTTTTACTGGGTTTTGACTATGACTTATCACATGATGTCAGGCCCACTTATGAAGTCATTTTGATGATCTAAAAGTTTTGAATTTTGGATAATTTTTGGATTTCAGATTTTTGTATTAGGGACACTCAACTAACGTTATTGTGTATTTTACAACTGTAACTCATTATTTTACCTTTCTTTGGGAATAAACTTTAATGAATACTACTTTTTCTTGATAATTTGAAATATAGACTATCAATATATTATTTGATGAAGACCAACAATGATTTCTCAGCATACATTTTTCTTACAGTAACTATTATATATTCAGGATTAGTATATAAATATATTTATTTACAACAGGTTTTGTTCAGTTTTGGAATTCAAAACACTGATCTATTCTGTAATCACAAATTAAAATCGTATCCACAAAATACCTGCTCTACCAGGAAAAAAAATTGCCTCCTGGCTGAAAATAACTTGGTATTAATGTGTTACAAAATTGTATTATACTCACCAGTGCAAGCTGACCAAATCTTTTCAAACTACATTCACTAGGCACAAGGTCATTTATAATGCTCTCCATTAAGTAACCAAAGGGCAATTTTTTGATATTCTCCCCCATGTTTTAGTCTTTCTGACATAAATGACCCTTTGGAAGACAACTCTTTCCATCCACATGTGAAAAGTGCTGAATGTATCCTTTAGCTATTTAAATTGCTTTTAGCAGGTCAGGTCACCTCATTTAATAGTTTCACATTACTTTATTCGGTTTGCAACTCTTAGAAACAAAAATGTTTCACTCCAATTCTCCTTTTCAATGGAACTTAATATCGTATTGTTAGAAAAATGATTTTCTGGCAGGTGTTCCTCTTTCTCCTATTCTTCACTGTCCCAAGTGCTAGTTTTTAAATTAAATCTTGGATAAAACTGTAGAAATACAGGTTTTAAAGATGGCTAACGGCCAAACTCTTGTCCTTTTCCTACATGTTTTGATATTTCACAGGGATGTTTTCATATTAAATTAGTGCTATTCAATTAGCAAAATATATAGAACAATGATCATGGCAAGATTGCATTGAATACCTTCTAAAATCTGACAACATGAGTTGACATCCACGATGCAGACATTGCTTCCTGAGTGTTTCCTTCTCCTCTACACACTTAGGGAGTTTTGAGATAAATGTCTTCCACTTTAGGCTTTAAAATATTGTTACAACTCATCAGGAATTCCTTTGGGAAGTACCTCAGATCTGATATAAATACAGACCTCTAGAGGAATCCAGCTTACCTATATTAAATAAAATTTTCTGAAATCTCTCACTTCAGGGAGTATTTGGATCTTGCCTCAAGCACTCTGTTTACTTTCTACTTCTGATTTTCATTACCAACTTACCTTTTGTCTGCCAGTCACAAGCCTATACGGGGAGAAGATTCTGCTTTTAAAATTTTACTTTCCATTTTATTAAGAAAACAGTGAAGAGTGATGTAATAAAAATAATAAAGTAATAGATAATCTTTCATAATTTTATGTAAATTGGATGTGATACTCAAAGTTTCTCAAATTTGAACAATTATTTCCTTTTGTGATAGAAAATTTTATCTGGTTTATATTAAAGAGGATTTTAATAAGCGTCTACCAAATGCATCTTTTTAAATTAACATTATTAAAGACAATTTTTTTAAGAGCAGTTTTAGATTGACAGCAAAATTTAGGTTGGTTGGAGATTTCCCAAATACCCCTGCTCACACACATACATACTTTTCTCTATTATCAACCTCTGACACCAGAGTAGTATATTTGATACAATTGATGAAGCTACCTTGACACAACGTAATCACCCAAAGTCCATAGTTTACATTAGGATTCCCTCTGTGTTTGTAGTCTGCACATTTGGAAATGTAAAATAATTTACATTCCACACTATAGTATCATACAACATAGTTTCACCAACCTAAAAATCATTGGTGCTCCACCTCTTGACTCTATTCTCTCCTCTTATTTTCTATTTGGCAACCACTGATGTTTTTGCTGTCACATGTCTTTAAAAAATTATCTTTAGATAATTTCAACACAAGCTGTAACTAAGAAATCCGTAGAACACAAATTGGATGACAGCAGCAGTGGTTGACACTTTCATGCTATTTTTATTGCTTTATAAATAGTTTCTAAAATTCCATAAGTATATGTGTAAAACAGTACCAAAGATGTCCAGAAAAAAGACAAAGTATAGTGCTATAGTCTGTGAATAGTGAAAAGAAGATGGCGTTTGCATAAAGATGTATGGAATTGAAGGTAGTCTAAGGCTAATGCAAAAGACAACACATAAGGTCACTGGCTGGAGAAATGGTCTGCATGGGACTAGGATTCTCAGTGAAGCTGGAAGAAAAGAGGATATCAGATAAGCTCCAGGAATATGAGATTTGTACTGCAAAAGAAAAAAATATATATTTATGACACTTGTTAAAGAAACGTAAGACAAGGGGGTTCCTACAATGGGGTTTCACAGTAGGGGAGAGAGAATTGGCTCAACTGTGAATACAGCATGAACAAGTGGAAATGTATAGCCAAGGAACAGAGTGGGAGTGGGGTGGATGGAAAGTTACTAAGAGGAGACAACTGGAATAAGGGAGGATTCTAGCTAAATTAACCTCCAAGGAATTTTGCAGAAGGAAAGCCAGGGTGATCAGACCTCATCTGGGGAAAAATGGAGGATGAAGAACATGATCTACATTGAGGGTGATCAGATATCAAGAATAGGTAATGATTTGGGGTAAAATAACTCAGCAGGACACTTGCTGAAGCTAAACAATACAAAGATAAATCTGGAAACTCAAAAGTCAAAGCCCAGTACAGAAGAGAGTTTCCCGGAGCCTGAGTAGAATTTGGTCAAGAAGAGAGTTTCCATCAGTATTGAGAAAGAATAGCAAGAAAAAATTTGCTCCTTCAAAATTTAATGGCCTGTCATATACTCAATCACAAATATATATATATACACACACACACACATCCTTAGCATTAGATTCTTTTGAGCTAACATAGCCCCTTTACACATCTAAAAATGTTTTGTCTTTTTTCACATATAATCAGGTTTTCTTTTAAAATAGCTTTTTGAAATGTTATTATTTATAAGTACAAGACCCTCTAAATCTTCCAATATAAAAGCTATTTCTGAAAATGGTTTGGGATAGATCTTGGGATGCTGTCCTATGTAAAAGAGAACTGTGTCAAGAATCAAGGTGAAGTCTTCACCCAGAAACAAAGTATCCCCACTCCTGAGGTTATAGCCTTTAGGTAGATACTAAGTATTAAATGTCATATTTAAACTGTATGACTTTCTGGTCTTTTTTTTTCTCTGTAGTAATCAATTTATTAATTTTATAAATAATTTTCAAGAGGCCTAGAATGTATAAACTGAGAAATATCCTTTTGTTTCTTCAGCTTTTTATTTTCAAGAGATTTACAAGACAGATGCAAAAATAGTGCAGAGAGTTCAGATATACCCTTCGCAGAACTTTCCGTGATGTAAATATGTTATATAATGTTGAATTAAAAACAAATCTAGACTTGGGTCAAGAGAGACTTTATTTGAAAAGGCTACTGCAATATAAAGAATGCTCTGAATAGAAGATCTGCATGTTGCTCAAGAGTTAGGCAAAAGGGTTTTTCTTTTGTAGAGAGGAGTAACCAAGGGTAAAAGAAACATGCATGGGGAGGTGAATTGAAAGGGTGCCATGACTGGAGAGTACATTAGCAAATGTTTTGTGCTCAAGCCCGTCTATTCTCCAGGAGTGGCCCTTTCAGAGGGGTCCTATGCTGGCTCAGGCTGAGAGTAGATGAATGTTCAGCAGTCTTGGGGAAAGAAAAAATCTTTTAACAAAGTTTGGTTAACAGACACTTTGTTCTAATTGGTCAGTAAGAACAAAACAATTTAGTTAATGATCTGAGGCAAAGAATGAGATTTTGGAGGCTCGGTGTCTGGCCTTGTCATAGGTAAACAAAGGGGTCATCTGTGAACCTTACTTAAGTCTTACCAGGAAGGGTGACTCTGCAAGGAGTCATTTTCCAGAACATGAAAGAATGGTGGTGCGATTCTTTATCCATAGCTGTTTTCCAGAATTACAGAGTTCATGTAAATTTCAACATTGTCAGTAACTATAGTATAACCGAAAAAAAGTAGTGTAAATCAATAAAAAAGGGAGATTGGCATAAAAATTTAAACATAAGTTTTAAACACATGACACAGCTAGGCACCTAGTCATGATTTAACTGTTATCTTATTTGAATAAGAGGTAAGAAAATAATAACATAAAATTATAACATGACATGGTAATATTCTTATTTTCTATAGATATTGAGTCAAATTCTAAAACCAGCATTTTGCTAGACAATGGTAATAAAAGTATTAAAACTTCTTTCCTCATTGGCCTGATGGACTACTTTTATCCTAAATGGCAAACTGTGTTTTGACTTATATTTCTAATGTGTATTTAATGGAGTACTCAGCGTTCTATTAGAGATGAAAATACTTTTTATTGATTTACACACACCATGGCATTTTTCATTCCACAAATGATAAATGACACAAAGTTCAATGAAAAGTAAACATTTAATATATCATCACTTTACTCTCCAGCTTCCTTTCCTTAACATGGAAACTCCCCTGAATTTATATAATTGGAGCTTATTAATGTTGCCATGCAAGTGGCACTTAATTAAGGGCAAAATGGTACACCCTTTATTTCAATGAAGGAAAATAATCTTACTAGAACTCTGTGTCCTCTGAAAGTAATTGGCACAAATAAAGATATGATTGACAATTGTTAGTAAAGTTAGTATTACATAGAAGAAAAATAATAAATATATTGTCTTTAAAATCTTGGCAGGGCGTGGTGGCTCGCGCCTGTAATCCCAGCACTGTGGGAGGCTGAGGCAGGCAGATTGCCTGAACTTAGGAGTTTGAGACCAGCCTGGGCAACATGGTGAAACCCCGTCTCTACCAAAAAATACAAAAATAAGCCAGGGGTGGTGGCAGGCACCTGTAGTTCCAGCTATTCAGGAGGTGGAGGCAGGAGAATTGCTTGAACCCAGGAGGCAGAGGCTGCAGTGAGCCAAGATCATGTCTCTGCACTCCAGCCTGGGTGACAGAGCAAGACCCCATCGCAAAAAACAAAAAAAACAAAAAACAAAAAAAAAATTATACATTGGTTTATCTTATCAAGTATGTAATTTGGACTATAAAGTTTAACAGAAAAACAAAAATGTTTATTTAATTTATATTCATTTTCCCAAAAACAAATATAATTAAAAATACATGGAGACTTTTTCTCCTTGTTTAAATCAATAAATAAGTTTTATACAACTTGCTAAAAGTAATTTTCAGTTTGGTGTGGTGGCTCGTGCCTGTAATACCAGCACTTTGAGAGGCTGAGGCAGGTAGATCACTTGAGGTCAGGAGTTCGAAACCAGCCCAAGCAACATGGTGAAACCCCATCTCGACTAAGAATACAAAAATTGGCCAAGTGTGGTGGTGCATGCCCGCGGACCGAGCTCCTTGGGAAGTTAAGGCAGGAGTATCACTTGAACCAGGAGGCAGAGGTTGCAGTGAGCAGAGATCATGCCACTGCACTCCAGACTGGGTGACAAAGTGGGACTCTGTCTCAAAATAAACAAATAAATAAAATAAAATAAAATAAAAGTAATTTTGAGCTTGAGGTTTTATAACTTCAATTCCAATCATATGTTACAGATGGGACTTTTTTAGGATTTTCGAATATGACAGTAATAAAAAATATTGAGAGGGGGAAGCACAGAAATGTCAGAGTTTCTAGTTTTCTTAGTTTGTTCAGAGAACCTTGATTAAAAAGGAGTTGAATGACTTAATTGTGCCTTCTTGTGGGCTAAGATCAAGGCAGATCTCAGCTTTATGAGGCTTGAAGTTTTTGTAATTACAGGAGCTCTCTTTAAGAAATAATCCAAAATTTGTTATGAAAGTAAACATTTATTTGGATAGAGGAAAAAAAATCACTACCAATTATAAATTTAAATAAGCTGGAAATGATACTGATCAGTTCATTCAGGTTTGTTTTGCCCACGCCCACAGTAAGTCAATCACTGTGACAACACATTTTGCAAAAGAGAAAAGATTTATTCACTAGGGAGCCTAGCGAGGAGGCAGGAAAAGAGCTCTCAAATTTGCCTCCCAGAAGATAAGGGTTAGGGACAAGAAAATGAAGTAATCAGTGATCTACACAAGTGTAGTCAGGGCTCATGGCTTTTTCTAGGGCATATGTTCAGAAAACGGAGGCAGTAGCTTGATCTGAGGGTGGTGTTTTGGGCCTTCTCATGTCAAAAAGCCACCTAGTAGGACTGTGCTCAGCCTCTGTTGAAGGGTCTGTATTTGCAACTGGTTTGAACAGGACAGGAGCTGCCTGAAGTTCCTGAAAAATAACTGAAGCAGCTGTTACCATGGTGACTCATAAATGTTATCTATAATGTAGCCAGTGAAGGTTAAGTTACGGCGTTCAGTAGCATGGCCTTCAGCTTTATGGAAAAAAACAAAACAAAACAAAACAAAAAAACAACAGCCAAAAGCAAGGGACCAAAAGCAAACAGGGCAGTTTGTTTGACAAACCCAATCAGATTAACCCCTCAGCTTCAGAAATACCACACCAGATAAATCCAAGAAACTAACATTCTATATATTTAGAATTTTATAAATATATATTTTATATAAATATATAACATACCTGTAACTTTCTGATCCATTGCTATAATAATTTTTTCTGTTTTCTAGCCATATACTTACTCCTTGTTCACTCATTTGAAATAAAATCTTACAGTATATTCTTGAGAGATAGAAAAATACTTTAGTCTTTCTCATAGTGTGGTTTATCAAAATTTAGTTTTGTATTTAACTGGTAGTTTTAAAAGTATCTTCTGGTTTCACAACATGTAATTAATTGTTAGTGCTCTGTAAATTGAGAAGACTACTATTGGTTTTGTGGAAAACATTTACAAAGTTTCTTTTATATAGTCTCTCTGGTTCAAGAAACAGCAAGGGGCAAAGGCCATGAGACAAAGGTTCACTTTGCCTGATCAAGAAGAGAAAAGGAATGAGTGTGCCTGGAATGTTGAGGGCAAGAGTATTGTGTCATGGGCCATGAGATTGCAGATGTAGGAGGTCACGTGGGCCTTGCGTGCTACCATAGAGTACTTGTCTCTTACCTGAGCAAATGTAAAGCTGGTACAAGATTTTTGAGCTAAGTACACTAATACAATTTGTGTGTGTGTATTTTTAGTACAGACAGGGTTTCACCATGTTGGTCAGGCTGGTCTCAAACTTCTGACCTCAGGTGATCTGCCCACCTCGGCCTCCCAAAGTGCTGGGATTACAAGTGTGAACCACCATGCCCAACCGGGTACACTGATACAATTTAATCTAACAAGAATTTCAGTATTTCTGGCTGCTGTGTTAAAAGGGTCTGAAAAGGGCGTGAGTAGACTAGGAAGTCTAAAGGTAAGGAGAAACAAATAATTGCAGCAACAAAAAAAAAGCATTATAAACATTTGAATTAGTTATTTAGGGAACAAAAAGCAGGGATTATCTTAAACACAACAACAAATATGTTTTTACTAACTGAAAATTGTAGCTTTTACTGACTTGATACCTTTATCATCCTACACCTTCGGTGACAATGGAAAACACAATACTGTTTCAAAATCTTTATAGAAATTTAGAGCCAATTTACCAAAAATTCAATAGTTAGATAATTCTTAAAAGAAAATACTTAGCTTGATACAGTAAAATTAATATCTGATATTTAAATAAAGGAAGAAATGTTCACTTATTTACTACAAACTTTAAGGATTTAAATTATTGAAATAAAAATTATCTTCCTATTAATGAACATGTGTTTATTTTAAAATTGTTTATGTTGCTGAACTTATTTGTCTGCTCTTACCTATAGATTGTGAAACCCTTAGATAGAGGACCAAGTTCATTTCATTCCCTCATTCTCAACTTTCAGCATATCTTCTATTGGCATACAGAAAATGTCTAGTAGATATTTAAAATAAAGAAGGGAGGAATGATTCAGTAATTCAGTCAATCAGAAAGTAAACACCTATTCCAGAATGAAGGTAATAGATCCAATGTGAAGTTGACTGGCATCAACCAAAAACTGATATATTTCCCAAATTTCTTGCCCTTGAACCCAGCTGTGGTATCTATAGAGGTATAGGACCGCTAGAGCAGAAAGGATAATCTAAGACTCTTTCACCACTTTTTACCACTCAAGAGGCCCACTTAACTATCAAGACTACCAAAGATATTCTAAGAAGCTCATCAAGCAAGTGGTTGATTATAAAATGGTTCCAGTAAGCTGAGATAGTTCATTCAATAATAACTGTGATCCCTTGATCATCCTACACCTTATGGTGACAATGGAAAACATCTGTAGATTTACAGATGTTGCACTAATAAAGTATTCCACTGGGAAACAAAAAAGAAAAACAAAATAAGTGTCTGTACCGACTCATGAGTGACTTTAGGTAATAAAAATTTTAAGCATTGGCTTTAGATTTAGATTGTACTCTACATGAATCCTGTCCTTGCCACTGACAAGCAACTTACTAATTGGTTTAAGCATTTTGGAAGAAATAAAATCAAACAGTGAAATATTTTCTTAGATATAGTAGACTTCTAAAGAATTAGGAATATTTTCAGTGAATATTTTTGTATTCTTATTTTATTAATCATCCTGGAAATGAAAAATTTTGAACAAAACTCATTCAGAAAACAACAGACCATATAGGAAGCTTTTCTCCAAAATTCCTTAATGGACTTTCCACTCAGCTTTTGTTTGCACAAATAAATGCGTAACAATTAAACATACAATATTTTTTATCATCAATGCAATATTGCTTATCTGGTTATTCAAAGACCTTCCTAATTTTACAGCAGGTATGTACTAAATGAGTGCTTATGAGTCAGACCTATTCATCATCACAAGGGCAGCTTTTATCACAATAGTTTTGATGATGCATTTTTGTACGATGACATTACAATGGTGTCCCACTAATGATTTATTAGAATGCTACATCATGGTATTGATAGAGAATAGAAATAAACCAAAGAATGACTTGGTCATTAATAATATTAAAACTATACATTATGTATGGAGCTTGTCCTCATTTTTAGAAATGGAAGCATTCATTTATGCCACCTGTTTAAATAATGTGTCATCCATGGAAAATAAGTTAAACCATGTTTAAGAAAACCAGCATCACTTAGTGCTTTATTTTCCATGAATATATAGTTTATAGCAATATAAATTAAAAGGATAAAAAGTGTATGTAACTCTTTACCCATATCGAGTGATGATAGTATAAAAGGAGATAGATAATGTACTATTATTAAAATAATTATTTATGTTCTGTATCTATGAACACTGAAGTCCTTTATATTAAAGGAATAATTTGCAGAGAAGTTGTGATTTTCTAGAAAAAAGCAAGGCATTGTATTTAGATTATTTTTTGCAATTTGGAAATCATTTATTTCTGTAGTTAATTACTCAGAAAGTAATAAAGCATCTGCTTATTGGATAACATAAATTTTTAGTTTATTAAAGTAAAAAATAGCATCCAATATGACTAGCAGAAATGTTGCTTTAGATCTAAATGTCCTTTCCATGCAAATTTTTTTTTTTTTTTTTTTTGTGAGATGGAGTCTCGCCCTGTGGCCCAGACTGGAGTGCAGTGGTGTGGTCTCGGCTAACTGCAAGCTCCACCTCTGGGTTCACGCCATTCTCCTCCCTCAGCCTCCTGAGTAGCTGGGGCTACAGGCGCCTGCCACCATGCCCAGGTAATTTTTTGTATTTTTAGTAGAGACGGGGGTTTCAACGTGTTAGTCAGGATGGTCTCGATCTCCTGACCTCGTGATCCGTCCTTCTCGGCCTCCCAAAGTGCTGGGATTACAAGTGTGAGCCACCACACCCCACTGCAGTCAAAGTATTTTTAACCAAAGATAAAATTCTCATAATTATAATCCTGAAGTCGACATCAAAATCTTCTTGTAGCCTGATAGATGTACTCCCCAAATCATTTTTCCTTTTTTTTAATGGAAATTTGGTCTTGTGGCTAATTTGAGGCCAATAAAATTTAATTAGAAATGATATGTGTAACTTTCATGACATGTACACATTAAAGGAAAGCCACTTGGATAAATGTGGGAAAAATTAACAGACATTTCACAAAGACAGTACTTATTCATATATACATTTTAGAAATGTTATTCAGAAAAACTAAATTTTCTCCATATATTTCTTACATACATTGTAAATATACATATTTATGCTATTGTTGCAAATATGTGTCTTTTTTACCATGTTTTCTAGTCACTTTTTGCAAAAACCAAGGAAATGAATTATTTTTAATATCACATATCCAAAAAACTATTATTTCTTATTATTCTATTATTATTCTAGTAATTCAGTTTTAGATTTTACTTTGGATTTTCTATGAACAAAATTACATCATTAGAAGTTAATGCTAATTTTGTTTGTTTTTTCTTCTTATACCTTTTCTAAAAATTTAACCTAGTAAATCTGGAAGATCCTCTTATATCTTTTATTTGTTGGCTTACTTCAGCACAGGCTAGAATATTCATTTAGAAACTGGGATGCTGGAAATAGATCTTATTAAAAAATCATTTATAGTTTCTCTTTGTTTTTTTTTTTTTTTTTGAGATGGAGTTTTGCTCTCGTCATCCAAGCTGGAGTGCAGTGGCGCGATCTCGGATCACTGCACCTCCACCTCCCACGTTCAAGGGAATCTCCTGCCTCAGACTCCTGAGTAGCTGGGATTACAGGCACCTGCCACCACACCCACCTAATTTTTTGTATTTTTAGTAGAGACGGGGTTTTGCCATGTTGGCCAGGCTGGTCTTGAACTCCTGACTTTGTGATCCACCCGCCTCGGCCTCCCAACATTTATAGCTTTGGGGGCTCAGCAAGTGATGCCCCAAATTTCCCAAAGGAAATTTAACATACTGAGAGGCCTTATAAGCTGCCTCAGAATAAAGGTCCCTCTATCCTTGTCTTGTTCTCGTCTTTCCCAAGCAATGAGATGGTGCTAGGACATCCTCCCTAGGGATCTTGTGAAATAACAAGGAAACATCAATGACTAGAGAAGAGAAGAGACTAGGAATCATCATCACACTCAGACAGAATTCTCATCCAAGAACAATTCCAAAAAGTAACCTCAGAAACATTATCTTCTTAATAGGACAACCATTGTTCCTGTGAACCATTGCCTGAGCATTGGACCCATTTATTCCTTTATTTTTCTGGCTCTTGTGAAGAAAGCATTTGAGCTTTAATCACCTGGTCCATCTTTGAGTTCATATTTTGAATGATACTTATGGACACATGTGCATGTAATAGTGATAACTTTGTTATGTTTTTCCCTGGTTAATCTCTTTTTTGTTATAGGGGTGTAGGCTGTAAACTTTTACAATGGGGAGAGAAGGGATCACACCCTCTCAGCCCCCATAGTTCTAGAAACAAAGGTAGGACGACTGAGACACCTGACTTGCTTCCAAGCCTACAATTGAGGACCTAGGACAACTGACAAAAAGCTAACAAAGAAAGATAAGAATTTTTACCAAGTTTAGCTCTCCTGGATCTCTACCTGGAGTACCTGATGGAGAATGGAAGGTGAACATTTCTCTTTATCCCTTTCTCCCTAAATTCAGGTTGGCAGGAGAAAATCATTTGTTTAGGTTGTGACTCTTGTGTAAGTTTGGTTTGGAAGACCTATTTATAATTATCTTTCTCCTTTTCATGGGCAGCTATTTCTTTCCTGTCTGTCTTGTTTTGTGTCCTGAGAACTTAGCTTGGCCTGCGGCCTGTCGGGGTCATGCAGGTTGTTGGGTCATGCAGATGGTCAACTGAAAGAGGTTGAGGCCCACATATAAAACTAACATATCAACTTGCCAGCTCTAAAAACATTGTCTAAATATTTCTCTTTTTTAACTTTTATTTTAAGTTTGGGGTAAAAATGCAGGTTTGTTACATAAGTAAACTTGTGTCACGGGAGTTTCTTGTACTGATTATTTCTTCACTCGAGTATTAAGCCTAGTACCCATTTAGTTATTTTTCCTGATTCCCTCCTTCCAGCCTCCACCCTCTGAAAAGCCCCACTGTGTGTTGTTCCTTTGTATGTGTCCATGTGTTCTCATCCTTTAGCTCCCACTCATAAGTAAGGACATGTAGTATTTGGTTTTTCTGTTCCTCTTTCAGTTTGCTAAGGATAGTGGCCTTAGCTCCATCCATGTTCCTGCAAAAAACATGATCTCATTCTTTTTCATGGCTGCATGGTATTCTACAGTGTATATGTACCACATTTTCTTTATCCAATCTATTGTTGATGGTCATTTAGGTTGATTCTATGTCTTTGCTATTGTGAGTAGTACTTCAATGAATATACACATGCATGTGTCTTTGCAATAGAATGATTTGTATACCTTTGGGTATATCCCCAGTAATGGGATTGCTGGTCAAATGGTATTTCTGTCTTTAGGTCTTTGAGGAATTGCTACACTGTCTTCCACAATGGCTGAACTAATTTACATTCTAATTGCAGTGGATAAGTGTTCCTTTTTCTCTTTTTTTTTCTTCCTTGTCTTTGGGAGTGGCTCTGCACCTTGTGAGGACTGCTTCTTTGTCTCTGTTTGGAGATGGCTTGTGCTTCCTTGGTTAAGTCGCAAAAGACTCATTTGGTAGATTTCTTTGTTTGTTTTTTTAGAACAACAAAAAAAGCCAAAACATCAGGAATAATATTTTTTCTTTGTCCTAGCTGTAATCTGATGAAAAGAGATTTTTAAAAGATTTTTTTAATGAGCTCTGTGGTCAATAGTTGGCTAAATTAAAAGCTACTTTAGATCTCAAATATACATACATATATATATATATATAAATATAAAATGTCTTTGTGCGTTTTCTCTTTTGAATCCTATTTCCCCCATGGGATTTTTTTCAGGTGACAGAAACCCTTTATTAAAAATTATATGTTCTGTTCTCCGAGGGTATGCTTCTTATTAGCATGATATTTTGCTGAGAAAAATGTCAAACTTCATTGACCTTTTTGGGAAGCTTACGGTCTTCCCAAACTGGCTCCTCTAGGAAGTCCTTTCTTCCATTTACTTCTTCTCTCTTTTTTCTCATTTTCGATCTTTATCCAGTTCTCTTAATCATTGATATATTTCCCTTCAAGTCCATACCTCTTCCATTTGGCAGTCAGTGGACAAAAAATCACTAAAAGAAAGCATCAGAGTTCTGGCTGTCACATAAAGAGAACTAAGAGAGAGACTTCTAGCCACTGAGACCGGTTGAACCGCACAGCCAAGGCACCAGACACCCCTGTGTCTGGAATTAGTTCCTTCCAGTGGGTTCTTAGTCTCGCTGACTTTAAGAATGAAGCCGCAGACACTCGCAGTGAGTGTTATAGTTCTCAACGATGGTGTGTCCGGAGTTTGTTCCTACAGATGTTCAGATGTGTCCGAAGTTTCTTCCTTCCAGTGGGTTCGTGGTCTCACTGACTTCAGAAGTGAAGCCACAGAACTTCACAGTGAGTGTTAGAGCTCTTAAAGGTGGCACGTCCGGAGTTGTTTGTTCCTCCCAGTGGGTCTGTGGTCTTGTTGACTTCAGGAGTGAAGCTGCAGACCCTCCGGTGAGTGTTACAGCTTATAAAGGCAGTGTGGACCCAAAGAGTGAGCAGCAGCAAGATTTATTGTGAAGAGTGAAAGACTAAAGCTTTCACAGTGTGGAAGGGGACCCGAACAGGTTGCCCCTGCTGGCTCTGATGGCCAGCTTTTATTCCCTTATTTGGCTGGCCCACATCCTGCAGATTGGTCCATTTTACAGAGTGCTGATTGGTCCATTTTACAGAGCGTTGATTGGTGCATTTTTACAGAGTGCTGATTGGTGCATTTTGAAACCTTTAGCTAGACACAGAGCGCTGATTGCTGAGTTTTTACAGAGTGCTGATTGGTGTATTTACAGACCTTTAGCTAGACACAGTGTCGATTGGTGCGTTTTTACAGAGTGCTGATTGGTGCATTTACAATCCTCTAGCTAGACAGAAAAGTTCTCCAAGTCCCCAGTCGACCCAGGAAGTCCAGCTGGCTTCACCTCTCACCCCCACTTTGGGATCATCTGTCTTGCTCATGGAACCTCAGAAGTCATGGGTGGGTTCTACTTAGGTCTGAAGCTCTGCTTTCTTTTACAATAAATGCCCCAATCTCTCCAGCTTTAGGGGAGTACCAAGAATTATTTTAAACTGTACGAAAGCAATTGACCTTTGTGTATGTACTAACTAATGGGCTATTGGCAAAGGTGTGATGTTAAAGGGAATTCATAGTTGCTGCAATGACTGGCTATTACTGCAGGAAACAAATACTGGCTTTCTATCCTCCTCATTTATTTGCAAGTTTAGATAAGAAAATATTCTGATTTCTGACCAAGTCAAACAGAAACTGATGGTAAATGGCAATTTGGAATAAGTAAAATTGTTGGCTAGGTTTGTCTGTGAGGATCTGGGAGCTCCGGCCACGATATGATGATGAGTGTAGTTTGGACACGTGGAGACTGAGAGCACTCACTACTGAGGGATACAACTTCTGTGGGGTATGAGCTAATCATAGAGTGGGCCAGTTGGTGCTGGGTCATCCGCTAGCCTCAGGGAATGTCCTTGCAGAGGTGCACTCTATGAGTATTAAACAGCTCAGCCCCATGGTGTTTCCCTCTCTGCCTTTTGCCATGGATCTAAGGTACCTGGGATTCAGTGTAGGAATGGGATCTTAGATTTCGGGAGATCGAAGTGCTGTGGCTTCTGGCTGTGTCTGCCTTTTAGATGTGTCAGTATTGGCCCCAAGAAGCTGCAAATGCTTTGTTGGTCCTATTAGATAGCAGGCTCCACCCTGACCTCAGTGGTCCAGTTGGAAAAGGCAGACAAAATTGCAAGCTATCTATTAATATTAGACCAAAATTGGTCTCCTTATAAAATTATGTGGTGAATTCCTATGTTTGTTTCTTTGGTGTTCATTTTTAACCTTTCTTTGTTTTATGTCTAATTGACACACCTAATTGCTTGAGAAAGCTTTAATTTTCTCTCTGGGCTTTGAGATGTAAATATGCTATATTTTTTTTCTCTAAAACTTAATGAGGGCTTAGCCACGTGGGACAGATAAAGTTTAATTTGTTGCATTTACAGTGGCACCATTTTTATCTAACTGTGCTTTTAAACTAGTGAGTTTTATCTGCCTTACGGAAAAATTGTAAGATCAAAGCTACAAAATATTTATGTTTGTCCATATTTTTATGTATGTGTACTGTCTACATATCATCAAATCAACTTAAAAATAAATGAACTCTCATAAATTAATAAATCCAGATTCTTTTAAAGTTTACATGACTTTAGCAATTTTTGCTAAATAAAATTGAGATTGGGGACAGGCGCCCTAAATCACGCCTGTAAGCCCAGCATTTTGGGAGGCTGAGGCGGGGGGCTGAGGGAGGAGAAGCGCTTGAACCAGTGAGCCAAGACGGCACCGCTGCACGCCAGCCTAAGCAACAGAGTGGGACTCCCTCTCAAAAATAATAATAATAATAATAATAATAATAATAATAATAATAATAATAATAATACAAAAGGCCAATAGACTTTGAAAAAGACTGACCTGGTATCTTGTCTATTTCCTTTCAAAGTTGCTGTCCTTGAGGTAAGTAAAGAACATCAGTTTCTGACAGGCCCAGTAATGCCAAGATATTTTGGAGACCTCAAAAACTGATAAATTCACCCAATTCGTACAGGTATTACAGATATAGTCTGAGGGAAAGTCATATCCTTGGCTTGGCTCCTACGTTTCCAAAGGCTTTTTGAGAATCTAATATCAGATTCTTTATGAAAGGTTTTCAGCAACGCCAATAGAAAAAAGAACCTATGTGATAACTCACTATTCTTTCTGCACGTTATGGAAATTATTAGGTCACATTAATAAGACAATTTATTTTACAAGTAAATTGGAAGTACTATGATTATCTTTGGTAAACATGGTGGGGCTAGGAGAGTAAATAATGTTTCAGAAGAAAAACTTAGTACACCTGTTGTTAGATCCTAGCACTGTTCATTGTAAATTTTTGTTATTTGCCTATAATTTAGACTGAATTCTGAATTCCTTCCTGATTGCAAGTCTCAAAACCAATGTTTCCAATTTTTTCTTCCATTATTCTGACTTAGACTCACTGAAATTGAAAATGCCTTTTTCCTAAGACCCTACAAACTGAATCAGTCAACTTGGCTTTGAAGAAACATCACCACAAGAGCCTATATTTGGAAAAACTTTGTACATGCAAAGCGCAAAGCAAAAAAAAATCTGTAAAATTGTCGTTTGTAATTTCAACTGACTGTTCTCCAGAGACTCTACAGAAACTCCAGAGATTAGCCATTATTTTTTGCATAAGTCATAAGAATCCACTCTAATAAGAAATATTCCTTATTAAAGATTTGTTCACTTGCATCGTATATAGAGGCCTAACTTTGACAGCCAGTCTTCAGCACCATCTCCTGAAATGAGACATAACTGTATAATTGGACAGACATATTTCCAGAAATGGGAGACTGTGTTAATGAGATTCTTTGCTACTCAGCTACTAATTTTTCTCTCTACAGCTAACTCAGCTTTTCGTGTATGAGACTTCTAGGGAAATTTCACACAAGATAATGTTGGAGCTCAGAAAATGATACCCCAAGGACTGGTAGTTTGACATGTTGAGAGGCCTTTGAAGCTGCCTCAGAATCAAGGACCCTTTGTCCTTTGCTTGGCCTCATTCCTCGATCCCAGCCCCAAGTGGAGGGAGGGATTCTCTGGGATTTCTTTATCTAAGAAAGCTTATTTTGGGGAAAAAAATGCAATTATCTTGGGACCTTCTCTCTAGGGAACTCATCAAATAATTGGAAAAGATCAACTACCAGAGAAGAGAAGAGACTAGTAGTCACCACAGCACTCAGGTAAAATATTCTTGCATTCTTTGAGGGTAGATCCAAGAGAGTACCTAAGAAACTCTATCTTCATAGCAAGATGACCACTGTTCCTTGGAACCATTGTCTCAGCACTGGGCTTATTCATTCATCCCATTTTCCCCTCCCTTATGAAGAAGGTGTTTAAGCCTCAACCATCTGATTCCTCTTTTAGTTCATATTTTGTATGATACTTGTACACACATGTGCACATAGTAGTAATTATTTCCTTCATTAGAACGTTCATAACTTTTGTAGGTTTGTCAGTCTTTGTAGGGTAAGCCTCAACCAAACCTGTAAATTTATCAACAAAAACCAACAAATAGCAAAATTTTCCAGGGTTCTGAGGCATTATAGTAAAATCCAATTGCCAGTCTTCTCTAGGATATGTTCCTTTCCACTGAGTTTCTTGCCTAAAGGTGGCTTTTATGCCTTCTGGAGGCTTTGGATTATTTTTCAGGCAAGTAGAACAACGTTGAACTACAGTTTGTATTGTTTGTTGCAAATGAGGCCCAACAGGATAAGGCCGTGTCCAGCATAGAGTTGCCTCCTGTCCATAATGGGTGCTTTGACAAATTTGCTCAAGGATTGGTCTAATCAAAGCTTGTGGAAGGATAATTTTTCCTTCGTTATTTGTAAGGTATTTATGTCTGGCATGTTTAGAAAACCCCCATTCCTCAGCTCTTTTAAGATCAACCTCCAAATATTTGGGATGCGAGTTTTTCAACAAAGTGTAGGAACAAGAGCCAGCTAGGTAGTGGGCCCCTTGGCAATCTTTTTCACCTCTAGGTCAGCCTTAGTATTTCCTTATGCAACATTGGTGCCTGCCCTCTGGTGTCCTTGGCAGTGAACAATTACTATTTCCTTTGGCATTTTTACTGCACCTAATGATTCATGAATTTGAGAATCCTGCTTTATTTCTTTGTTATTTGAAGTAAGGAGGCCCCATTGCTTCCAAATTGCCCCATGAGCCTGGGCATATTTAGAGTCAGTGTAAACCTTTATTTGCTTTCCCTTACCCAGATGAACAGCTCTAGTTAGATCAATGAGCTCAGCCTTTCGAAAATGTCCCAGAGGGCAGGGCTTGCACCTCAATTACCTGCTCATTAATAACTACAGCATACCCAGCCTTTCTGACTCCTTGTTTGATGAAACTGCTTCTATCAATGAAGAATTTGTCAGGTTCCATCAATGGCAAATCTGTGAGGCCTGGTCTGCTGGAGTAAACTCGATCAATTATATAAATCCAGTAATGAACAGAAGGCTGGAGTTTCCCTGGTAGCAGTGGGGCAGGATTCATATAAAGAACTAGCCTTAAAAGTTACAATTGGGTTATCTAGAAGCATAGCTAGGTACTCTCCCAGTCAGCCTGCTGTCAACCAATAGCCCCGTTTTTGCTTGAGTAGAGGTAACACATAACACACAGTGTGCACTGTCATTTACTGCCCCAAGAAGAACTTTTCAGTTTACTGTAATAGATCACAGTTGGCAGCCACCACCCTGAGGCAGGTAGGCTAGCCGTTAGTTACCATATCAAGCTCTTTTAAAAAGTAGGCCACAGGACATTTCAAGGTTCCAAGACCTTGAGTTTGTACTCCAAGTCTAATTCCCTGTCCTTCTGGAACAAATAAATCAAAAGCTTTGCATAGGTTAGGGAGATACAGAGGAGGGGCTGTCATCAATTTCTCTTTCGTGATTAAAATTCTTTTTGACACTCCCCACTCCAAGAAGGGGGCTTCTTATCTACTCCTTTTAAAGCCTCATAGAGAGTTTTTGATATTAACCCAAAGTTAGGGATTCAAATTCAACAAAACTAGCAATCCTTAAAAAGTCACAGTTGTTTGTGGAGAGTCGGGACTGCCACCTGATTTATTGCCTCTCTTGAATCTGGGAGAAGATTGTGAGTATCCTGGGATATTTAGAATTCCAGTTACTGAAGTGTGGGAAGAGAGACCTGTGCCTTCTTTCTGGAAACTTAGTGCCATTTCCCTGTGAGGGAATTTCAAACTTTGATGGCATGGATAATGGAATCACCCTCTGTTTCACTGGCTATCAAAATATTATCTACATATTGCAAAATAGTTTCTTTATTGAGGGTTATTTCCCTCTAGTCTTTGGCTAAGATTTGTCCAAAAAGGGTGGGAGAGTTTTTAATTCCCTAGGGAAGCATGGTCTGACAATACTGACATTTAGTGTTAGAGTCCAATTTTTCCCACTCATTAAACACACAGTTCTTGGAACTCAGGGGCCAAGGAGATGCAGAAGAAAGCATCCTTTAAGTATATTACTGAGAACTAGGCAAAATTCCACAACAGGATGTTAAGAAGAGTGTAAGGGTTGGGTATCATGGGATAAATGTCTTCTATGATTTGATTTATTGCCCTTAGAGCTTAGAGAAAACAATATCCTTGGGTGTCAGGCTTCTGAACTGGCAAGACAGGAGTATTCTAAGGGGAATGACAGCATAAAAGGAGCCCATATTCTAAGAAAGCTGTGATCAAAGGTTGGAGCCCCCTTTGATCCTGGAGCTTTAGTGGATACTGTTTAATCTGGAGCAGAGTGTGTGTATGGTGTTGGGGGGTAACACCCAATTTTAACTAAACATGGATTGGTACCACATGGGCCCATTCAGGACACCCAGTGGCCCAGGCTTTATGGTTTACCTTCTCAAGGACTTCAGAGGGGAGGACCTGAGGAATAGTCAAAAGTGCGATTAAGTCCGCTTGCAAAGAACATGAATGTTCTGGAGGGACTTCAACATACACTTGTTTATTTAAGAAAGTCACCTGGGCCTGTAACTTGGAAGGAAGACTTTGTCCTAGTAATGGGAGTATACATTCTGGCATATAGACACAACTGTGGGTCAAAAAGAAGAATTTTTTCTTTTCTCTTTTTTTTTTTTTTTTGAGATGGAGTCTCGCTTTGTCACCCAGGCTGGAGTGCTGTGGTGCAATCTCGGCTCACTGCAACCTCCGCCTCCTGGGTTCAAGTAGTTCTCCTGCCTCAGCCTCCAGAGTAGCTAGGATTACAGGCACATGCTACCATTGCTACCATGCCCGGCTACTTTTTTGTGTTTTTAGAAGAGACAGGATTTCACCATGCTGGCCAGGTTGGTCTTGAACTCCTGACCTTGTGATACACCCGCCTTGGCTTCCCAAAGTGCTAGGATTACAGGCATGAGCTACTGGGTCCAGCCTAATTTTCTATTGTATATTATAGAAGCTGAAAAAAATATTTTTGAGAGGATTCGCTAGACACTCCAGTGACTGTCATAAATTCCCTTCCAAGTTTAGTCAATTTAATAGTTAAAACTGAGTAAGTTGCTGTGGTATCAATAAAAAAAATCAATCAACTTATCACCCACTTTAACAGCTACCCTAGGCTCTTGGTGAGTGAAATTGATCATGGATTGGAATGTCTGAGTTGTTGAAGGAGGTTTAAGCTCATGGCATTCCAGGTATAGTCATTGAACCCAGCTACTTGCATTGGCCACCCCTTCTATTCAGTTTAGGACAATCTTTTTTCCAGTGTCTCCCTTTTGTGCAGTACACACATTTTTGTTTTCTTTCCCTAAGAGGGGTCTTTCTAAGATTTTCTTCCTTTGCCCTTTCTGAGAAGGCCCTTCTAGACTCAGCTAAGGCTGCTCCAAGGAACTTAGCCTGTGGTTTCATCTGCAATTTTCATTTTGTTGTTCCTTAGTCTGCTTTTAATCCAGAAAGACCTTGTATGCCACCTCAATTAATTGAGATATTGGCAATGTTCCGATGCCCTTTAATTTTTGCAATTAAGTTGAATATCAGGCATAGTCTGCCCAAAAAAAGTCATATTAATTAGCTTGTAATTCTCAGGACAATATGGATCTATATCCATGTATTTTTGATAAGCCTCCAAAATTCTTTCCAAAATGCTGATGTGTTCTCATTCATTCCTTGTCTAATTTTCTGCACCTTGCTTATGCTAAAAAAATTTTGGATTTTACCTTCATTCTCATTGTTCAGATTCCAGTTTGGATTGTGGAAGGGCACTACCATATTGGAATCAGTCCTCACCTGTTTATTCGGATCTTCTGCATGTAAATGGTCAGCCTCCTCCTAAGTATTTTCTAGCACTACATAACACTCATCATATATCAACAAGATGTTAAGGAGGCTCTGAACATTGGCCCATATAGTGTGATGAGTAGTGAATGTAGACTCAAAATGATCAGTTTCATGTTTTGGGTCATCCTTAGAAGCTGGATCATTCTGCTTCCAATTATGTAAGTCAGAGGTGATGAATGGGCTATATACTCACATCGTTCCAGCAGACTGTCCTTATTCAATTATACCCCCAATATGCACCTACCTTAGAGGAAATTTCCCTGCATAGGGGGTTAGTAGACCTCAGTCAAATTGTGTCCCTGATGGTTACAAGAGGGCGAGACCATTTCTTTAGAGTTCTTGGATGTCTTTTTGGTGAAAGGAGAGAATGGGAATAGAGGAAGGACCCAACAGAACTAGGGTAGGAGCCCCAGGTTCATAAAGGAGAAGACTAGCAAGAATCAGAAATAGGTTTTTCAGAGGTACGGGAGTCTCAGAGGTTGGAGCTACTGGAGAAGCTGAAGCCAACCTCAGGACAGCTGGCAGAGAGTGCTGAAGTGGCAGGACTGGGGTTTCAGAAGTTATATAGTAGCCCAGGCTTCCTAAACTAAGGGACTGTTATCTTAAGCTGGTAATATGGGAATCTTAGTGAAAAGCACAGACTCACCACCCTTCTTAAATGCCTTCATCCATTGCATCCAAATTTTACACTTAGCTTGATCAGGTTTGCTCTGATAAAGGAGCATAAAAGATTGGACTTAAGGAATTTCATTCCACATTTCCATTTGATAGCAAAATGAATCTATTGTAGTTGTAAGATAGTGTTATATTGTAAAGGCCAAGAGAGTGGCCAAATTTTTTCAGCTTCTAAAGAATATTGGTGCCAAACAGTATTACAAAAGATTGTCATTTTCCTTTGTTCCATTGGCTCATAACTATATTCAGGCCAATTTTGGAGAATTCACATGCAAGGAGGCCAAATTATGGAATGGAATTCTGATTTTCCATGACTATGTTAACTTTCTCTCTCTCTCTCTCTCTCTCTCCCCCTCTGCAGTAGATTGTATTTGAGTAATTGGAACGTATTATCAAAATACATTCTAACTACTCAAATACATTATTAAAATACATTGTAACTAATCAAATACAATCTAAGTACTGTAGTGGTAACTAACAGGCCCCAAGAATGTCAAACCTGAAATAGTCTGGGTGCTTTATCCCTTTCTCAGTCATTTGGGCTTGTATTAGTCCCTTCTCATGCTGCTAATAAAGGCATATGCAAGAGTGGTAACTTATAAAGGAAAGAGGTTTAATTGACTCACAGTTTAGCATGGCTGGGAGGCCTCAGGAAACTTGTAATCATGGCAGAAGGGGAAGGAAACACATCCTTTTTCATATGGTGGCAGAAAGGAGAAGAATGGGAACTGAGTGAAGGGGTAAGCCCCTTATAAAACCATCACTCCCGTGATTCAATTACCTCCCACCAAATCGCTACCAAGACACATGGGGTTTATGGAAACGGTAATTCAAGATGAGATTTGGGTGGGGACACAGCCAAACCATATCATTCCTCCCCTGGCTCCTCCCAAATCTCATGTCTCCACATTTCAAAACACAATCATGACTTTCCGACAGTCCCCCAAAGTCTTAGCTCAGTCCACCATTAACCCAAAAGTCCAAGTCCAAAGTTTCACCTGAAACAAGGCAAGTCCCTTTCCACCTACAAGCCTGTAAAATCAAAAGCAAGTTAGTTGCCATAGGGGCAACTAACCTACAAGCCTGTAAAATCAAAAGCAAGTTAGGGGCCATAGACCTGAGTTAATAAAACAGTACCAATATAACTGTGTAGCCCACATACACTGGGGCTACAAGCGTTGGGTAAATACACCCACTCCAAATGGGAGAAATTGGCCAAAATGAAGGGGCTACAGGCCCCATACAAGTATGAAATCCAGTGGGGCACTCAAATCTTAAAGCTATAAAATGATCTCGTTTGACTCCATGTCTGACATCCAGGTTATGCTGATGCAAGAGGTGAATTCCCATGGCCTTGGGCAGCTCTGCCACCGTGGCTTTGCAGGGTACAGCACATGTTCAACCTGCAGATGGAAATTCCTTTGGAATTGCCCAAATTGGGCAGAACATAACACATTGTCTGGCACCCTCAAAAGACACTCACCTGTACAGACACAGATGTCAGATTTCAAAGGCTGTTCTTCTAGGGAATTAGGAATACAGCTGGGACCAGCAGCAGCAAGATCAAGTAGAGAAAGACTAAAGCCAACCTCTGACCAAAAAAGGGTCAGATAGCTGCTTAGGAAGTCTTCTGAAACTCCTGGCGACCTGCATCTGAGCCACAAGCAGTGTGTTCCCAGTCAGGAAACCAAAATCTACTACCGAAATACCATAGGTATTGTCCAGATCCTGCTGTTTGCCACACAGAAAGCCAATCATTGAGATAACAAGTACTGCCAAGGAAGAAGGCTTTAAGTGGACACTGCAGCCAAGGAGACAGGAGATCAAACTCAAATCCATCTCCTTCACCAACTAAAACTGGCATTTTATATAGCAGGGAATAAATGTAACTATGTGTGGGAAAACAGGATTTAGTGTGCGGTAATGAAGAGGATTTGGTCAACAAGAAGCAGACAGTCAGGTAGGAAAACAGAAATTTGAGAGGAGCAAGGAATCATGAGGTCTGGAATCTCATTGTCTGGATGCCGTGATTTGGTGAGTCTCAGTTTGTTTCTGCTTTGTGAGAGGCCCAAGGATTATTTCCTGAGGAAGGAACTCAGATTATACAAATGTAAGTTTTATGTTTTAAGACAAGAAGGGTCAATTTCTATATTCCCCCCACCTCCAAAAAATCTGTCTATGGACTACTGAATGGGTTTCATTTATAAGTTATGCTCACTTTATTTTCTTTTCCAGGTTGTCATAGAAAATCACCTGTGGGGCCATAGACCTGAGTTAATAAAACAGTACCAATGTAACAGGTAGAGGTGATGGGAGAATCTAGACCATTTATTCATACAATTTATATATGCCTTCTGGATCAGCTCAGGATGATGCCAAACACACAAAGCCTGACTTCATGTCTTGTGATTAGATGACTTCTATCTCTTGGATGATTTCATAGTCACCAGATATCATAAAATACTACGAAACTGTTTTTCACATGGAATGTAGTTCTCTGCTGTAGAAGTCATAGCGTCATTCAAGAATCATTAGGTTCTACACACATCTCTGGTTTGGACTTTCTAGAAAAACACAGAGCATTTTTATCTAGTACAGGAATCTAAAAATTTATATGTGGTGTCCTATAGCAAATACGGCAAAACCACTTTTATTCTATTCTAGACGTGTTGTAAATCCCGCTTTCCAGACCCCACCTGATAAATGGGTCACAGAACTCTTTTCAAGTATCATAAGTGCTGCTTCTAAAATCCAGAGTAACCTTTCATCACTTGTGCTTCCTTTTGAGTGGCAGGAGGTATGACATGCAAAACTCTTTCTCATGGTTTACGGTGTCAACATAAACAGCACACAGACAGAGGGGCTCACTAAAAGAAAACGATATTTATTTGAGATTGAGCATTGCAATGGTAACATGGTGGGCATATTTAGGGAAGTAAAGGAAGACAAGCGTTTTTCAAGTAAAGATTAAGGAAATTTACATAGTTTTGAGACAATTATCCTTGGCAGAATCATTATTTGTATAAATTTGTGGCTATCTTTGTGCAAGACAATAGTTTTTGCAGTCTTTTGTGATAGATCTTATTATCAGGCATATATGCATAAGAACCCTTTCTTGAGGGCCTTCCCTAGCTCCCTTTGTCAGGGTTTGACACAAGTGACTGGGTTTTGATTCTGACAGTTTTCACAAGGGAATGTCCTGACATGCTCCAGATCAGCTGATTCTTAAAACCTTCACCACTGTGGCAAGCCCTTGAATCATTTATTTTTGCCCATTGGAACCACTTGTGAAACTTTTGATACCAGAGCAAATCCCATGCTCTAGAGATTTTTACTTAACTGATTTGGATTGACCTATAGGTATTTTAGGGTTTTTAAAAAAGTTTCCCAGTTATTTCTAATGTACAGATAAGACATAAGGAACACTTTAATTAGATTCTTGGAGAATTGAGAATATATATTAGGACCAGAGATATAATTTATTAATTATCTATAATTATCTCTGTTCCCAGACTAGAAAATAGTACATTTCTATTTCAATTCAATTTATCATCCACTAAAGAACTAAGTAATTAATTTTAAACTCATTTATTAATAGGTTAATGGGGTTGACCCTTACAAAGTCAGGAACCTAAAAGGACATAGAGTTCTTGGTAAAACAGTTACACAATTTCCTCTATATGGATTTGAAGTTAAACATGGAAAGTGGGTTGGAGAAAACAAAGTACAAATATACATTTACATAAATACAATTTTAGTGTTTGCTGTATTCCTTAGGTTTTATAGCATTTGGCATTGGCTAGTTTGTTTTTAGTTTGTTACAAAGTCTCCAAAGTCTCAGTAATGTAGAAACCAAGCTAAATTCCATAATTAGATTCAACAAATATGTTTGCAAATAACTCAAGTAGTGTTGACAGTTAAAAAAAACAAGGTTAAATGTTTCCTTTTCAAGATGGTCACTCTAGGGAAAGCCAATTATAGATTTAAAAAGAGGACTGTTACTCATACTACTATAGTTACTATCAATAAGACAGTTTTCTATATTTTATTTTGGTTAAAAAAAGTAAGATCTTCCGTCATCATTTTTTATTTATTTATTTATTTATTTATTATTATTTTGAGTCGGAGCTGTCTCTGTCACCAGGCTGGAGTACAGTGGCAGGATCTCAGCTCACTGCAACTTCCACCTCCCAGGTTCAAGTGATTCTCCTGCCTCAGCCTCCTGAGTAGCTGAGACTACAGGCGCATGGCACCACGTCTAGCTAATTTTGTATTTTTAGTAGAGACAGGGTTTCACCATGTTGGCTAGGATGGTCTTGATCTCTTAACCTCGTAATCTGCATGCCTTGGCCTCCCAAAATGCTGGGATTACATGCGCGAGCCACCGCGCCCAGCCCTTCCCTCATCAAATTTTTAAGTACATAATGTAGTCTTGTTAATTCTAAGGACAATGTTGCACAGCTGATCTCAAGAACTCCTTCATCTGGTATAATGAAGACTTTCTATCCATTGAACAGCAACTTTTAATTTTCCTCCTCTCCCAGTCTCTGGCAACCACCATTCTACTTTCTATTACTGTGATTTTTGACAACTTTAATTACTTTATGTAAGTGCAATCATGCAATATTTTTAATTCTATGATTGGCTTATTTCACTTGGAGTAATGTTCTCTATGTTTATCTATGTTGTCACATATGACAGGATTTTCTTATTTTATCAGGCTGAGTAATATACTCCACTGTGTCTATATATGACATTCTTCTTCCATTCACCAATTGATGGACATTTATATTGCTTCCACAGCTTGAATAATGCTGCAACGAACATGGGAGTACAAATATCTCTTCAATTATTTCAATTATTTTAAATAAGCGCCTGGAAAGTGAGACTGATCAATCAAATTCTAGTTTTATTTTTAATTTTTTTGAGGAAGCTCTATACTGTTTCCATAGCAGCTGCACCATTTTACATTCCCAACACTGTAGAAGAGTTCCATTTTCTCAAAATTCTTGCCAACACTTTTCGTTTGTTTGGTTTTGTCTTCATTTTCATTTTGATACTGGCTATCCCAACAAACTTGAGTTTATATCTCATTTTGAATTTTATTTGCATTTTCCTGATAACTAGTGATGTTGGGTGTCTTTTAATATGCCTATTGGCCATTTGTTGTATATTTTCTTTGAAAAAAATGTCTTTTGTCCATATTTTACTCAGATTATTTTTATTTATTATTTTGCTACTTGGTTGTAGAAGGTTCCTATATATTTTGGATATTAACACCTGATATGTTTTGACTCTGTGTCCCCACCCAAATCTCATCTTGAATTGTACTCCCATAATTTCCATGTGTTGTGGGAGGGACCTGGTGGGAGATAATTTAAATCATGGGGGCAGTTTCCCCCATACTGTTCTCATGGTACCGAATAAGTCTCACGAGATCTGACAGTTTTATCAGGGGTTTCCGCTTTTGCATCTTTCTCATTTTCTCTTGCTGCCTCCATGTAAGAAGTGCCTTTCACTTCCTGCTATGATTCTGAGGCCTCCCCAGAACTCTATGTTCAATTAAAGCTATTTTTCCTCCCAGTCTCGGGTATGTCTTTATCCAGCAGTGTGAAAGCAGACTAATGCAGTAAACTGTTACCAGTAGAGTGGGGTGTTGCTGAAAAGATACCCCAAAATGTGGAAGCAACTTTAAAACTGGTTAATAGGCAGAAGATGAAATGGTTTGGAGGGCTCAGAAGAAGACAGGAAAATGTGGGAAAGTTTGGAATCTCCCAGAGAATTGCTGAATGGCTTTGACAAAAATGCTGATAGTGATATAAACAATAAGGTCCAGGCTGAGGTGGTCTTAGATGGAGATGAGGAAATTTTAGGGAAGTGGAGCAAAGGTGATTCTTGTTATGTTTTTGCAAAGAGACTGGCTGCATTTCACCCTTGCCCTGGAGATTAGTGGAACTTTGAACTTGAGAGAGATAAGTTAGGGTATCTGGAGGAAAAAATTTCTAAGCAGCAAAGCATTTAAGAGGTGACCTGTATGCTGTTAAAAGCATTCCATTTTAAAAGGAAAATACGGCACAAAAGTTTGGAAAATTTGCAGCCTGACAATGCGATAGAAAAGAAAAACCCATTTTCTGAGTAGAAATTCAAGCCTGCTGCAGAAATTTGCATAAGTAGCCTGGAACCCAATGTTAATCCCCAAGACAATGGGCAAAATATCTCTAGGGCATGTCAGATGTCTTCACAGCAGCTCCTCCCATCACAGACCCGGAGGCCTAGGAGAAAATGGTATTGGGGGCCAGGCCCAGGTTCCCTGTGCTGTGTACAGCCTAGTGACTTGGTGCCCTGTATCCCAGCCACTCTAGCCATGGCTGAAAAGGTCCAAAGTAGAACTTGGGCTGTGGCTTCAGAGAGTGCAAGCCCCAAGCCTTGGCAGCTTCCACCTGGTGTTGAGCCCGTGAGTGCACAGAAGTCAAGAATTGAGGTTTGAGAACCTCCGCCTAGATTTCAAAAGATGTATGGAAATGCCTGGATGCCCAGGCAGAAGTTCGCTGCAGGGACGGGGCACTCATGGAGAAACTCTGCTAGGGCAGTGCAAAAGGTAAATGTGGAGTTGGAGCCCCGACGCAGAGTCCCTACTGCAGCACTGCCTAGTGGAGCTGTGACAAGAGGGCCACTGTCATCCAGATCCTAGAATGATAGATCCACCACCAACAGCTTGCACTGTGTGCCTGGAAAAGCTGCAGACACTCAACGCCAGCCCATGGAAGCAGCCAGGAGGCTGGCTGTACTCTGCAAAGCCACAGGGGCAGAGCTGCCCAGGACCATGGGAATTCACCTCCTGCATCAGCATGACCCAAATGAGAGACATGGCATCAAATGAGATCATTTTGGAGCTTTAAGATTTGACTGCCCTGCTGGATTTTGGACTTGCATGGGGCTGGTAGCCCTTTGTTTTGGACAATTTCCCCCATTTGGAATGGTTGTATTTATCCAATGCCTGTACCCCCATTGTATGTAGAAAGTAACTAACTTGTTTGCATTTTAGATGCTCATAGGTGGAAGGGACTTGCCTTGTCTCAGATAAGACTTTGAACTGTGGACTTTTGAGTTAATGCTGAAATGACTTAAGACTTTAGGGGATTGTTGGGAATGTATGATTGGTTTTGAAATGTGAGGACATGAGATTTGGAGGGGCCAGGGATGGAATGATATGGTTTAGTTCTATGTCCCCACCTAAATCTCATTTTTAATTGTACTCCCATAATTCCTGTGTGTTGTGGGAGGGACCTGGCGGGATATAATTTGAATCATGGAGGTGGTTTTCCCCACACTGTTCTAGTGGTAGTGAATAAGTCTCATGAGATCTGATGGTTTTATCAGGCGTTTCTGCTTTTGCATCTCTCTCATTTTCTCTTGCCATTACCATGTAAGAACTGCCTTTTGCCTCCTGCCATGACTCTGAAGCCTCCTCAGCCACGTGGAACTGTAAGTTCAATTAAACCTGTTTTTCTTCCCAGTGTCAGGTATGTCTTTATCAGCAATGTGATACAACACCTGAAGTGGACTAATACACCACCTCATCAGACATGGTTTGCAATTTTTTTTTTCTTATTGTGTAGGTTGCCATTTCAGTCTGTTGATTGTTTCCTTTGGTGGCAATAAATTTGTTTATTTTTAGTTTGATGTAGTTGGACCCTGTTTTTCCTTTCATTCCCTGTGCTTTTTTGTGTGTGTCATATCCACGAAATCATTACTAAGACCTATATCATAAAGGTTTTCTCTATATTTTCTTCTAAGAGTTTTATACTTCAGGTTTTAAGTCTTTAATCTAAATTGGGTTGAATTTTGTCTATGAGTTAAGACAAAAGTCTGGTTCCATTCTTTTGCATGTGGATATCCAGTTTTGTCAGCACCATTTAATGAAGAGTTCATACTTTCCCCATTATGTATTCTAGGTACTTTGTCTAAGAACAGTTAACCACATATTCATGAATTTATTTCTGGACTCTATTATTTTCCACTGGTTTATCCATTTGTTTTCGTGCCAGTACCAGATTGTTTTAATTACTGTAGTTTTAAAGTACGTTTTGAAATTGTTACTGACAGTGAGTCACAGTGATCCACAGGAACTTGATTCTTGCCTTCTCAGAGAAAAGAATTCAGCTAAGGAGGCCAAGGTAGGTTGAAGGCAAAGATAAAGGTCTATCATGAAAAAAGGAAAAGTACACTCGGAAGAGGGCCAAGCAGACCACTTAAGGGGTCAAGTGCATCACCCAGGATTTGCCTTGGGATTTTTATATGTTGACTTAATTTCAGAGTTTGTGTTTCTTCTTTTATGATCCCTCCATTGGACCAGGCTGTCTGCACGTGCAGTGGCTTGCCAGCACTTGGGAGGGGCTGCATTTGCAGTGTATTTACTGAGTTGTGGAAATTTTCTCTTATCAGTTGAGTGTCTCCAGAGGAAGGTCATGTATCAGTCAAACTCCATCATTTTTTTTTTTCTTTTAGAGTGCCTGCTTAGGTGCACTTGCCCAACTTTTAAGATTTCACCAGGGAGCTGTGGCCCCCATGCCTCAAATGTTTCCTGTAGGTCAGGCAGCTCTTCTTCTTTGATTCTAGCTATAACCACTTAGAAGGCTGCTTGTCAATTGCCTTACTATCACCTGACAGTCACCTGACATTTCTAGGGCCTCACCCTTCCTTGCTCATGTCTGCCTAACTACCTCCTTTAACAAAATCAGAAAGTGTAAAATGATCAGCTTTGTTTTTTCCTCTCATGACTCTTTTAGATATTTGGAGTCCTCTGTGGTTTCATATAAGTATTAGATTAGGTTTTCTATTGCCATAAAAATTCCGTTGGGATTTTGATAGGAGTTGCATTGAATCTATAGATTGCTTTTGATAGTGTGGACTTTTTTTTAATAATATTAAGTCTTCCAATTCATGATTATGAGATTCTTTTCATTTATTTATCTTTTCTATAATTTATTTAATCAGTGTTTTGTAATTTTTAGTAAAAGTATTTTGCCTCTTTGGTTAAGTTTATTCCTAAGCATTTTATCCTTTTCAATGCTGTCGTAAATGAATTATTTTCCTTTTCAGATAGCTTGTTTCTAGTTTATGGAAATCCAATTGATTTTTGTATGTTTTTTTTATCCTGAAACTTTACTAAATTTATTAGTTCTAACAGTTTATTTTAGTAGAGTCTTAGAGTTTTCTACATATATGACTATGCTATTTGCAAAAATGATCACATTTTACCTCTTCCTTTCTGATTTGGATGTCTTTTGTTTCTGTTCTTGCCTAATTGTTCTGTCTAGGACTTCCAGTATCATAATGAGCAGAAATGGTGAGAGCAGGAATCCTTGCCTTATTCCTGATCTTAAAAAGAAAGCTTTTTATTTTTGTTTTACCTTTGAGCAAAATGTTAGCTAAGGGCTTTTCATATATGGCCTTTTGCATTGGCATAATATGATTCTTTAATGTGCTGCTGAATTTGGTTTGTTAGCATTTTGTTGAAGACTTTTTACATCTATGTTCATCAGGGATATTGGCCTATACTTTTCTTGTGGTAACTTTTTCTGATTTTAGTATGAGAGTAATACTTGCCTCATGACATAAATTTGCATATGTTCCTTCCTCTTCAAGTTTTGGAAACTTTTGAGAAGAATTAGCATTAATTCTTCTTTAAATGTTTAGTAGAATTTATCAGCGAAGCCATCTGGTCCTGGGCTTTTCTTTGTTGGTGGGTTTTGACTACTGATTCACCCTTATTAGTTATAGGTATTTTCAGACTATTTCTTCATGACCCAGTCTTTATAGGTTGTATTTTCTAGGAATTTATTCATTTTTTCTAGGTTATCGAATTACTTGTGTATAATTAGTTTTTCATATAATCCTATATCACTTTAAGAGATACTTATTATTTTCCCCAATTATCAGAAAGACAAAATTAGTATCTGTTAATTTAGATGAGCCAATAGTTTCATATCTATTTAGCTTAAGAAATAAGATTTAAATTCAGGCTCCTTTGGTAACAAAGACTGTTACTGAAACATCAGGGATTTTTCTAGGTCCTGCTGCTTGCCTCACAGAAAGCCAATCACTGAGACAATAAGTGTTGGCATGGAAGAAGGCTTTAATCAGATGCTACAGCTGAGGAGATGGGAGATCAGTCTCAAATCCAACTCCCTGACTGACTAAAATTAAGGATTTATATAGCAGGGAAGAAATGTAACTACATGCAGGAAAACAGGAACTAGGGAGGGGTGAGAAAGAGGAGTCTGTCAACAGGAAGCAGGGGTTGCTTAAGTAATCATAATGGGTAAGGAGTCTGAAGTCTTATTGTCCAGATGCAATGACCTGGTAAGTTTGAGTTCCTTGATACTATCTGGGGAGCCTGACCATTGGTTTCCTGACAAAGGAACTCAGATAAAACAAATGTAACTTTCTCAGATTTTAAGATTAGAAGGGTTTGTTTCTTTGTTTATTCAAAAGAAACTGTTGAACATCAGTTCTTTGGGACAATTGGGTCAGTTTCAAGACAATTGTAATTTCACTGTTCTGTACTATTTCTGGTTTGAGAGTTTTGAGGTCAGTGTGTATGTTTACTTACAAAAAAGGCATGAGATAAAGTAGTAATAAATTATATAACAAAGTAGAAATTTATTATTGAATAAATATATTTGATTCACCTGAAATATTCATATAAACCAGTGTTTCTTTAGTTTGTGAGTCATTTATGATGGTGGCCCCTCCCAAATTAAGTCTGTTAAATCTTTTCTAATTTATTTAATTCAATTATGATACAATTGTGCTATAGACATTTACGAGTTTAAGAACATTTGTATAAGTTCTTTAACTCATATGAAAATTCAACAATATTGATTCTTAAATTGAAAATTGCTTTATACTTCTATTTTTCTGGTGCAGAACTGTATCATTGTTTTTTCAGTTACCAAGTTGAAAACTTTTTCTTCTTCAGTTTTCATTTCTAAAGTATTAAGTTCAAGGATAAGTATTGTTTAGTGCCTCTCAAATATATATATATATTTTTCTCAGAACACTCTCTTGCTTTAATAAAAAGGTTTTAGGATAATGTGACCTGCATCTATTTCTCCTTTATCATTTCCCCAGAATCCCATTAATTTTCTCAGAATTCACTCTTTCCATATTCTTAGTGGTCATGTAAAGAACTATGGTAAGCTCCAACCATAGTTTGCTTTTAATTCAAGTTTTACAGCTATGATGTAATTAGACATTTTGTACTATTTAATTTTTGTGTAAAGGAATAAACTTCTTTAATAGTTTGTTATTTCAAATATACGAATGGTAAAAAAAAATATATTATAGCTTATTTAAACACATTACTTGTATTATTTCTCTCTCTGTGTTATTTTTCTCATTTTGTTTGATTCTTAGGTGTGCCCTGTAAAAAGAGAGCTTTAAAAAGAAGAATACTGTTATTGAGAGCTTCAAGATCTATGAGAAAACAGTGTTAAGTTTTATTGACTGGCTTTCTTTTCAGTTACGAGACATAAAGTCTAAGGCTACTACTTATTTGGCTGAAAATATATCTCCTGAGATTCATAAAACTTGAGGACACTAGAACCTGAAACTTAAATTGAAAGCACTCTGACTTTCATATGCCCATCTTGGAACATTGTTTTTTTTGTTTAGTTTTCATTAACCTCTTTATCTTTTCCTCAAGTCTAATAAAGATGATCTCTTTTTCTGTGGACTCACTTCTGAAGAATATCATTTTCACATATAAAAGTTTCCAACTGTGCAATATTATTGTCATAAGAATCAAGATGGAACATATTTTATCATTAATGCATTTCTGATCTTTGAAAAATCTTAAATATATTTTATATTCAAATCTATAATTGTAAAAATGAAACAAGATTTCATATTTCATCTCATGAACAAATTTTCAATTCTTTTCACATTGTCAGGAGAATCTATCTTTTTCAAAGGTGGTTCAAAATATTTTTCTATTATGCCTTATAAAGATCAAGTCATGTTTAAGATTATATTTTTATATAGATGTTGCCCAATTAGTAAAATATATTTTATTGATTATAATATCAGTAGATAAAACAGAATAACAAAATCACAGTTCTATACATTTAAATATTATATCTCCATCAAATCACACTAGAGCTTCAAATTCTGAAGCTGAAAATGTTGATATGAATGTTATGTCTTGTTTAACAGCTGTTGCACAAATAATAGAGATATGTTAAAGGACTTTGCCAACTCTGGTTGATATATTTGAAAATGTTGATTGTGTTTATTTCAAATGGGGATTATTATGGCAGTTTTGATTTATTTTTCTGACAATCCTTGATTTCATTTAAAAAACAATCCATATATCTTATGCTAATGAGTTATTCTTCAATTCAGTCAGCATATTTTACTGGCTTTTAAGTTGTTTCTCTGTGTTTTATTATAATAAGCTGCAATATGTCAGTCTATGGACAACTAATTAATTATCAAAATCAATCTTAAAGTTATTCCGTAAAAAAATTTGAATTTCATTTATTGATTGTATTTGATATTTCTGTTTACAGTGAAATTCTTCAGTGTGCTGGTTCATAGAAACTTTGTTAATCTCTGAAGGAAAGTTGTGAATGAAGAAAGATAGAAATGTAGTATCATAAGCATAGAATGATATCCTTGGTACTTGTGCTTTTGTTTAATATATTCATTAAGTAGTCTCACAATAAACATTTCCTCTCTACGTTGAAGGAGGTGTCTAGTACACAGTTGCATTATATTAATAGGTACTGTAAATATTTTAAGTAAAATATTAATGTACAACCCTGAGACAAAGATCAGTGCTAAATATGATTGTTTGCATTTAACTTCTAAGTTTCAATCAAGACCTTATAAAAGACCTTTGATTTTAAAGTACCAGAGATTAATATAGATAGAAAAAAATATATGTACACTCCTTCCCTTGAGAAATCTCGGACATTCTATATCACTCCACACTCTATGTCAATAGAACTACCATTTGATTCCGCAATCCCACTAGGAGATATCTACTCAAGGAAAACAAATTATATCAAAAAGATGCCTGCACTTGTATGTTTATTGCAGCACTATTCACAATAGCAAAGATATGTGCTAATCTTATTAATATTTATTGTTGCACAGTGCTCTCTTGTTATTTATTTAAACCTTGAGTAGAGATGTCAATTTTTTGTTGTTCTGCTTTCATATTTTTGATCCTTTGATTTAATTTTTAGAAATGTATTTAAAAATTAAATTTATTTTTGCTAATTTCTTTTAGATATATTATGTATACTATATAGCTTATGAAAAGAATAACCAATTATAACTGAAGAAAACTTGATTTGTCATTTAAATTTTGTTTTAATGAACTTTTTAATGTTTCTGGATAAATTTATGTAAGGTTCCAGGCTTAAAAAAACCTGACACATAAGCCAGTTGAGCAGAAACAAGAAATAAATCCACATATTTACAGCCAACTGATTTTCAACAAAGGTGCCCAGAACACACATGGGGGGAAAAATGGTCTATTCAGTAAATAATGCTGGGAAAATGGAATTTTCATAAGATTGAAACTGGACCCCTATCTTTCACCATATGCAAAAATCAACTCAAACTTGATTAAAAACTTAAATCTGAGATCCAAAACCATTAAACTGCTAGTAGGTAACATAGAGGGAATGCTTTAGGACAGTGGTCCAGGCAAAGATTTTATGATTATCACCTCAAAAGCACCGGTAACAAAAACAAAGGTAGACAAATGGAGCTATATTAAACTAAAAACCTTCTGCACAGCCAAGGAAACAATCAAAGGGTGAAGAGAGAACCTACTGAATAGAAGAAAATATTTGCAAAGTATTTATCTGAAAAGGGACTAATATCCACAATATGTAAGAAACTCAAACAACAGTAAAACAAACCACATAATCCCATTAAAAAGTGGGCAAAGACATGAATAGACACTTTTTAAAAGAAGACTTACAAATGGTAAACAGTTATAAGTAAAGATGCTCAACATTATTAATCATCAGGAAAATGCAAATAAAAACCACAGTAAGATATCATTTATCTCAGTCAGAATGGCTATTATTAAAAAGAAGACAAAAAATAAAAGGTGTTGGCAAGGATGTGAAGAAAAAAGAACTCTTATATGTTGTTGTTACAAATGTAAATTACTACAGCTACTATGGAAAATGGTACAGAGATTTCCCAAAATACTAAAAATAGAGCTACCATTCAATCCGCAATCCTACTACTGGGTATTGATCCAGTATTTAGTATTTGAGATTTGGTATTAATACAAAGGAAAAGAAATCAGTATATGAAAGCAATATCTCACATTTATTGCAGCACTATTCACAATAGCACATATATGAAATCAAACTGTGTCCATAAAGGGATAATAGATAAAGAAAATATAATACATATACATGGTAGAATACTATTTGGCCACAAAAAATAATGAAATTGTGTCATTTGCATCAACATTAATGGAACTAGAAGTGAAAGTGTGTCTAGTGAAGTCTTAAGTGAAATAAGTCAGGCCCAGAAAGACAAACATATGGTCTCTCTGGTGTGCAGGAGCTAAAAAAGTTGATCTCACTCAGATGAATGATGAATTCACGCAGTAGAATGATGAATGCCAGAGACTGAAAAGGATGTGGAGTGTGGGGAAGACTGGAAGGATTAAGAGAAGTTGGTTAATGGGTATGAACATGCAGTTCGATAGAAGAAATATGTTCTAATGTTCAATACCCGAGGAGGGTGACTATAGTTAAGTACAATGTATCTTATATTTCAAAATAGCTAGAAGAGACTTGAAATGTTCCCAACACATAGAAATGATAAACACTAGAGACGATGGACCCCCTCAGATACTCTGACTTGATTATTACATATTCTGTACCTGTAACAAAATATCACATATGCCCCATAAATATGTAAAATTATTATGTATCAATTTTTAAAAAGACATGCCATGAATTAGAGTTATGTCATAGTGTCAGTGAGTCCAAGTATATTGTTACTGTATAAAAACTGCATAATCAACTAATGCTACACAGTGATCATATAAAGATATTTATTTGGTCAGATGAGTAACAAGAAAAGTTAAATCTTCTTTTTTAATTGCTAAGGAAGAGCATCATACACGTGATAAGCAATTCAAATTTTACTCTTATTAGACTAAAAAATTGTAAAGTTTAAAATCATGTCAGAATAATATAATTCTTAAATTTTAGTGTGCTTATTAGAAATCTATGACTACTAAATTAAACCATCTCTAAAAATTAACCTTTATTATAGGTTCTTGGGAAATATAATGTATTCATATCCATACTTAATTGGTCTTCTTTTTCTCAAAAAGTTTATCTACAAATTGCTCTGGATGCTAGAATATTTTTAGCTTGTTTGGTCTGAATGCATTAGACCTGGAGAAAAGGTAAAGTTTATATAATTAACCAGTAAAAGAATTTTTTAATCCCTCTCAAGCAATTAAAGAAACAAATGAATTTCTATGGTCATTTCTTATATTGAAGAACTGACCTATTTGACTCATTTCAAATTCTAGGTAGAAAAAAAGACAAAATTATGGAGGAACTACTTGTGTGGAAACAGGGTTGGAAGCTTGTGGATAGAAAAAGATGGAAAATGTCAATATTAACACACATAGAATTTACATGCGATCCCTTTTTGAGAGCTTTAGATATTAATTCATTTAAATGTCACAATAATCTTTTGAGATACAAACAGTTATTATTCCTGCATACTATACAGATGAGGAAACTAGGCACAGTAAATGTAAATCACTAATTAAGCTATCAGAACTGGCTAAAATTGAAGTAAGAATTTAAACCCATTTGGGCTGGAAGCATCTGTGCTGAATTGGAATTTCTCTTGATGAGAAGGCTCTTGGTTACTATGTATGCACCTTCAGTAAATAAAAACTTTCAATCCAGGTACCTACTCTATATTAGTAACTACATGTTTGGCTTATATTGACAGTGAATATATGGAGATCATAAAAATATAGCAAAATATTACAATCTACCATATGGATTTGTAACTCTATTATTTAAGTGATGTATATGTTTATACCGGGGAATTCAAATTATCATCAACTGGGGACTCTGACATTCAAAATTATATATCCTTCTCCCAAAATAATCAATGTGTTTCTTTAGCCAAGGTGACTAGAGTAATAATCTAGGCAATCAGTGTTTCTATTCTTCTTTTCATTGGGCTTTCGTAGACCTAAATATTTCATAATCTTTATTTTAAGTTGATCTACTTGTTCTTGGGGTTTTCATACGTTATCTTCAGAAATATTTAAGCATTGAAATCTTTAAGTTTTACTTTACATACTGAATAGTTCATTGATTTATATGAGTTATTCTATTCTATTGGAAAATAGAAACCTGTTTTCCCAGTTAATTTTCCAACTGTATTTTTCTTAGCTATTTTAAAAATTGGTGTGGTATATATTCTGAGCTTGTATATTTAGAACAGCAGTATTCAAATGGTTTGATATCAGAGACCCTTTACATGTTAAAAAAATGAGTCCTTTAAAAAACTTGTTTATGAGAGTTATATTAACTAACATTTGTTGTATTAAAATTAACACTGAAATAATTATTAAATATGTCTTTAAGTCAATTTAAGTAACAACAATAAATTTATGATATTTATGCTAACATAAATAACATTTTTGAAAACTAAATATTTTTTAAATCCCCCCAAATTGGTGAGAAGATCAGCATTGCTTTACATATTTGAAAATGTCCTTAATCTGGTTTAATAGAAGGCAACTGGATTTTCATATCTGCTCCATCATTTAATCTGCTCTGATATCAAAGCTCATGTAGCTTCTGGAAAATGCACTGCACATACATGAAAGAATCAGAGTTGAAAGGCAAATAACATTTCAGTGTTATTCTGAAAGCAGTATAGATCCCTTGGGCCTCCTAGGAAGGACTTGGAGACCTTCAGTAATTCCTGGGCGATACTTTCAAATCATTGCTTCATGAGAGTAGTTTAGAACCACAGGTAATTTTTGCTACCTAGGATACATTTGGCAATGTCTGGAGATATTTTGGGTTGTTACAACTGAGAAGAAGGTGCTAATATTACTAACCACACTACAGTGCACAAGACATCCCCCCTCCCACAACAACAAAGAATTATCTCGACTAAATTGCCAATGGTACTGAGGTTGAGAAATTGTTCTAGGATAACTTAAAATATGCAAGCTCTAATAATGGAAATCATATACACAGTTACACACTTAAAACTAAATACTAGTTTCATGATTGCAGCCCAAACTTATAAAAAGTATTTCTCTGAGATTCAATGCTATAAATGTTCCAGTTTAATATCATTAAGTAGTTTTCGTCTTTAAATATGCCAGTCTCTCCTATAGAAAAATGATCTCCTTTTATGAGAAAAATAGTTACACTCACTGCGCTAACTCAATACCAACACTTCATTCCAATTTACTCAGTTCTTAGTCTCTTTTATACCACTCCTTTTCTGTATTAGGATAGGAGTAAGAATAAGAAGAATTGGAGAAGGAGGAGCAAGAGGAAAAGAACCATATTTTGAAACTATAATTAAGGAAAACATACCTTTTTCTTCTTTATTGCTTCAAAATCAATTATCTAATTACTTTTGTACCTTCTTTACCAAGTTTCATCTTCTAAATCTAGTAAATAGTAGTCATCCTTGGCCAATCTTCCTTTTCTCTATCTGTTCTATCTATCTATCATCTATCTATCTATCTATCTATCTATCTATCTATCTATCATCTATCACCTATCATCTAATCTATCTATTTCTCTAGCTATCTATTTCTCTATCCATCTCCCGGCCTATGAAAAGATAATAAAAATAATTAATTATTAGGTAAATGCAAATTAAAACCACAGTGAGATATATCTTCACACATACTAAAATGGCTAAATTATTTTAAGAAAAAATTAAATAAAAGACTTATAGTACCGAGTATTTGTGAGGCTGTAGAGAAATTGGAATTCTCATGTATTGCTGGTAGAAATGTAAAATGTTACAGCTACTTGGAAAAATCTTGGTTTTTTGAAACATTTAACATGTGCGTACCATATGATGCACCAATTTAACCCCTAAGTTTTCACCTGAGGGGCATGAAAACATTTCCACAAAAGACTTCATTCAAGTGTGCATAGCATCTTAATTCATTATAGCCTCAAACTGCAAACAACAATGTCCTTCAACTGGCAAATAAATTAGCAAAATGTGTATTTCATAGAGTGGAATACTGCTCAGTAGAAAAATGAGCACTTTTCTGACCCGGGAAACAACACAGTTTTATCTCAGAAACATGTTAAGCAAAAGTAGCCAAACATAAATGACTGCATTTTACATGAATGTATTTATATGAGATTGTTGCAAAAGTCAAACTTATAGATAGAAAGCAGATAAGTGGTAACCTAGAGCTGGCAAGAGAACAGAGATAGATTGCAAATGAACATGAGGAATTTTTGAAAGTTGATGTGAATGTACTAAAACTGGATTGTGATAGTGGAAAACTTTATAAATTTACGAATACTTGTTGAAATGTACACGTAAAGCAACGTAGAAGTCAACACTAAAGTAGAACTAAGACAAAAAAAAAGTTAAGAAGAATACAATAGGTTCCTTGGGGAGATGATCAAGTGCTTCCTTCTATATTAAATATGACCATGTAAATCTTTGCCTTAGTCTTCCCATGCCAACATATAATGAAAGGAGCTAAAGAAGATATCGTTAGGGCCTCCCTACCTAGTACACACATTCCTTTAAAAAGGTCTTTAAAAAGTTCTGGCCTTGTGATTTGGCTTCCTGATATACCTGGGTGGGACTTCGGATAGAAGAATATTTCTCACATATTCTGGTCTCTGAACAATCCAGAGCAAAACACAATTAATTATTTCTTAATAATTTATTACTAGCCTTAGATATGAGCAGAGTATGGATGAAAATGTAGTCATAAAATGAAGTTTATTTTGAATCACTTTGCTGTGCCTTAGAGTACAAATATAGGTATTTTAAAATTTATGAACAAAGATTTAAGGAACATGTTTGTTTTATAGTATATCAAATCTTATTATTATTACTAATGTTTATTAAAGCATATGATTATTACAGTGAAAGATCAAAAAGTTTATTCTAAATGTTTTCTGGAAACCAATTTTTAGATTTTAAAACCCCAGAATGTGAATTTCTATAAATAGATTTGAAAAATAATTGAATGATAGCATAACATTAATTTATTAAATAAATAAAATATGAAAACCAAACCATCATATAAAAAAATTACAGTATATTTCCCATTAACAAAGGAAATGGGAAGATAACCATCTTATGCAGAAATAACTTGTGATCAAGGTGAAAAGAACAGTGTAATAAATCTCTCCTGAACTTTCTTCTCATATGTTTATTCAGTTGAACCAGATCCTTATGAAGAGCATAGATACTAATAAGAAACAAAATAAAAAATCAGTAACGTATCTTCACAGACAAATGTTAGAGAAATATACACCTAGGGATTTAATTTTCATAAGCATTTTGTTAAAAATAGTATCAAAATGTTTTCCATTGTTTTGTCCTTTATATGAGTAAATACAGCAAGAATAATATATAATTAAATGTAAAGAAAACTTTGATCTATAAGAGAGTTATGGACTTAATACAGTAAAGACAGTAAATAAATTAATTTTTATTTCAGGTAGGAACACTTGAAACATTTAGTCTTGCTTCTCTAAACTCTAAATTTCTGTTTTAAAATAACAGCATTTCACTCTACTGCAGTAATAAATAACACCTTCAAATTAAGCATAAGCAATTTAGTTTTTACAGATTAGAAATAATTGGGATGAACAAATTAAGTGATCTATAGAAGTCGTATTCAGGACAGATAATGGTAATGACGTTCAGAATTATTACCTTTGTGAGACATTAAGCCACAAATAAATCATCAAGGAAAACTTTGAAATTAAAAAGTGCACAGATGCAGACTGCATTTGAAATACATATACACAAAATAATCAGTGCATCATTGGATTTCATAACATTGTTTCAGCAATTCCGGAGCCCTTTGAGAACTTTCAGGGAGTTCACAAGGTCAAGATCATTTTCATACAAACGTTAAGACAATATTACCCTTTTTTTTTTACTGTGTGTTGACAATGCACTGTTATGAAATCAATGTGGATAAAATTGCTTATATTTTGACATCAATGAAGGCAGTCTTTCCAACTTGAATTAGTAGTTATTATATTCTGCACTACCATGAACTCACTGGGGTTGGGAGTGTAGAGAGCCAGTTTTACTTAAGAATGTCCTTGAAAAAGCAGTGAAAATATTAATTGTGTTATATCTCTATTCCGGAGTGCTTTAAAAAAATTATTTGTGACGAAAAGGAAAATTCTTATAAAATTGCAATGGTTGTTTTAAGGAAAAACATTTTTTGTGACTGGCTCATAAACTGAAATAGTTGCTTTTATTCACAGAATACCAATTTCATTTAAAGGAATGACTGACAGACAAACTATGGCTCTTCAGATTGATTTGGGTGTTACACAGTTTTCTGTAAATGAACTACATAAGCCAGCCACTTCAAGAACAATGATAGTACGCATGACCATTTATAAAATCCAATCTTCTAGGAAAAATTGTAATTTTATGAAGCTGGTATTGACCACCAAACCTTGACAGATTTGCAATATTTAAGAATCTTCTATTGAGATTGGCAATAATATTTTTATATCAAATAATGAAGTGTATCAACTTCTAGAACATATTTGTAACTTAGTGAACCAACATATGTCAAATGACCAATGCATTAAGATACATAAGCATGTATACAGAAAATATGCTTTCGAAGTTCAAGATAAGTCAATGAATTTTAATGTAAAATGATACAAAAATTCATTGTTATGTTCTTAGATTCCACATTACAGCCAAACTTTTAAGAAACTACCACCTGTCAAGTTTTGGTATAGTACCAAAGAAGAATATTCATAATTATCTGAAAATTATTATAATGCTTCTACCTTTTTCAGCTAGATATTTTTGTTAAGTCAAATTTTCTTGATATACTTCAACAAAAATATTAATAACATATTGTAAGATATTGAATGCAGAAGAAACGTGAAAAGCTAGATGCCTTTTGTCTAGACATTAAAATGATCTGCAAAAATACTGAGTGATACCACTCCTCATTAATTTACGTTTTGGTTTTGGAAAATTCAGTTATTGTTCTCAAAAAATACATTTTCATGTTGACATGCGATGGATTTATTTTTGTTATTTATAAGTGAATAAAATGTTTTAAAAATTTTCAGGTTTTTTTTTTCTAACAGTAAACATAGGTAGAAATAACTCATAGCATTAAGGTTCTTTAAAATCTTTAAGTCTATTTTTCAAGGCTGTAATAAATTTAAGAGACCAAATGTTTGAAAATTGCTATAATGCATCCTTAAATATTTAAAGTGTTTATTTAAAAAACAAATAAAAGACTATGTTTAGAATCTTCATTAATGCAATTTTTAAACAAATTGTTTTCCAGGAAGCAGATATTTAAAAATCTTAGACTAGTTGTCTTGTAGGGTTAGATATGAAAGTAGTAATAATCTATTAATCAGAAAATAAGATTCTTGTAGTGTTAGCACATGACAAGCTATGGCAAAATATTTACCTAAATTATCACCTAATTCCCTTTAGAAAAAAGAAATCGATATCTAAAGATATACCTATAAATGTTCTAAATTTGAACATTAAATTCAGGTTTTCTTTTTTGATAAGAGCATGTGCATATATACACGCACACAAATATATGTGTTTACACAAACACACATGTGCAAGCACTTATTTTAGGTAATCCGTATATAGAAAAGTAAACTAGAAACTTTTCAAAATAGTTACCTAATGGTGTTGAGTGGGTGGAGACAATAGGAATAGGGTCAAGATTTCTCAATTGTAAGATAGCCTTGATTTTGAGCCTTGCAAATAATTTACCTATTTGAAAAATAAACATTACTTGAGAACAAAAGCAAATCCTAAAACTGTACAAAAAGGTAAATCAAATTGCAATATAACCAAGTAGAAAATATTTTTTAAGTAAAATTTGAGTACAGCTATCTTGTTACTAGGATATATTCTATGCCCCAAAACAACTGCAGAGAAATGCTAAATTTCTTCAAGGAACTTTATTTCTAGAAGCAATAATGGTATTTTATGTTTGAATATAGTTATACTTTTATAATAAAAACAACAAATGCACTAAGTTATAAAGAGCTAAGCCTTTTTTTGGAAGCTAAAATTTTTATAATAATAGAAAAAGGACTTAAAACATAGAATAAGTTAAGAAAAAGTCTTCATGTTAATTTTGAAATGGAAATATTAACTTGAAATTGAGAATGATGGCAGTCCCAGTCAACAAGAAGGAAACGAAGATGACCATAGCAGCCAGTGATTCACAGCAGTTCTGAATTCCTGCCCAGTACATACTGCCAGTTCCTTAATTAGGACCCAGTTCTACTGCCTAAAAATGATTTGCCATAGTTTTTGGTTCTTTTTTTTTTTCAGCTACATAATTTTTACTTTATATTTTATCTGCTGGTCATGGAAACAAAAGCCTCTTGTTTTTGAACAGACTTTGTCATTTTATAGTCCAATTTGGTATAATTTCTTTTAAAATATTGGCAGCTCTGTGTATATCAAATTATAATAACACTTCTCTAAACAAAATTAAGCACACAGTGTAATTCAAACAAGCACTTCTATACCTTAGGACTGCTGAAATCTATGACGACATGACATGACTCCTTTAAGATTCTTAAATCGTTAATCTTTGTTAATTAACAGAGCTGGTCTTTCACAATTATGATCCTTAGAAAGCTTGTGCACGTCAGACAGTCTATGAGACGCCATCCTTGACTTCTTTACCTTTAAACTATATCTTTATGCTCTGGATTTGATATTTGCCTGATGCTGTTACTTTATTTGAGAACTTCTTGTTCTCATTTCCCCCGAGTTAATTAGGTAACCATTCCAGATTCTAAGAAAATATTCCATTATTGCAAGCACCTTCTTTCTCCAACTTCCAATAACATTTTCCTCACTGCCATTCAAGTCCTTACCAACTGTATCCTTAAGGCTCTTCCAAATTCTGCCTGCTGTTTCATCCCAAAATCAGTTCCACTTGTTTTACGCTATTGGTATGGAAGCAACTAATTTCCATTCTCATTCACTTAGATTGCTATGAGGTTTCCATCTTATCTATTGAGATGCTATTGGTTTAGAAACAACTCATTTACAACTCATCTATTGTTGCAAAACAAACTCTCCCAAAACTTAGGGGTTCAAATAAACTATTATATTTTGCTCACAAGTTTTGATCAAAAATTTAATTTGGCTTAATTGGGTGATTCAACTGTGATCCACATATAATCGATGTCACACATCTTATTGAACTAGCAGATTATATTAGTTTTCTAGGGTTGCCATAACTAAGTACTGAAAACTTGGTGGCTTAAAACTACAGACACTTTCTCACAATTCTGGGGACTAGAAGTCCAAAGTGAAGATGACATCAGAGCCATCTTCCTTTCTGAAAGCTCTAGGTGAAAACCCCCAGTGTCTCCTCCTAGCTACAGGTGACTCCCAGCAATCCTTAATATGCCTTGGATTGTTGCCTTACATAATAATTTCCATTTCTGCTTCTGTCTCCACATAGAGTTCTTCTCTATGTCTTCTCTTCTTTTTAAATGGATGCCAGTGGTTGGATTTAGGGCCCATCCTAATTCAAGATAATTTCATCTGGAGATCTTTAATTAAGAACATCTGCAAAGACTATTTTATAGTAAGGTTATATTTTGAGATTCCTGGTGGACATGAATTTGGGGAAGATATGAAGGGTATTATTTTACTTGTAAAGTGTTGTAATATCATTTGAAAGTAAACTGTGATTAGATTTAAAATGCATGTTGCAAATTCTATAAGTATTAGTCTTCTGTGGTTCCCATAACAAATTACAAACTTAGGGGCTTAAACCAGCACACCTAATATGATTGGACATTTCTGTAAGACAGCAGTCCTACACAGTATTATAAACTAAGATCAATTTGTCAACTAGACTGTATTTCTTTCTAGAGGTCTAAGGAAGAATCCATTCTTGCTTACTCAGGTTGTTGGCAGAACTTAGTTACTTGTGGTTACAGAATGAAGGACCCCATTTTCTTGCTGGCTGTCATCAGAGGGCCATCCCCAGTCTCTTGGCCCAAGACTTCTTTCCTGCATGCTCAGGGCCAGCAAAAGTGAGCTGAGCCCTTCTCAGGCTGCCTGTCTCTGATTCCTCTTTCCTTGTTGCAGCTTTCTCTCTGATCCTCATGGGAAAATGTCTCCTACATTAAGGACTCCTGTAGTTAGATTGGGCCTACTTGGATAATCCAGAATAATTTCCCTATCTCTTCATTCTTGACTTTAATATCATCTGGGAAATCTCTACTGCCATGTAAATTAACACACTCATAAGTTCTGGGAATTAGTGTATGGTCATCTCTGAGTGGCCAGTATTCTGTTTGCTGAACTATAGAAATCATTAAAACTATAAAAAATAGTAGCAATACAAACAAATAATAGGACATAATCATGGAGGTAGTTTCAAAAATATATGAAGCAAAAACAGAAAAAAATAAAGAGCTCTAGATAAATTCACAGTTAAAGTTGGAGATATCATCATTCTCTCAACAGTTAATAGAACAAGTAGAGAGAAAATCAGTAAGATATAAAAGACAAAGATAGTGCTATCATCCCACTTGACCTACTTAACATTTAAAAAATGCCACATGCAACAATGACAAAATGCATATAGTATTCAAGTAGACCATGATAAGTTTCAATTACACTAGACAGACCATGTGATGGATCACAAAACAAAGCCCAATGTATCTCAAAGATTGAAAATATAAAAAGTATATACCCTGATGACTTTGAAATTATATTTAATTTTTTAAATAAAATGATACCTCAAAAATCCTCAAATAATTAGAAATTAGACAACAAAATCCTAAATAACCTATGGACTCAGGAGAAAATTGCAAAGAAAATTAGAAAATAAACAGATAAAAGCAAAACCTATCAAAATCTGTAGGATGTAGCTAAAGATATTCTTTAAATAAATTTATAGCTTTCTACGCTTATATTTGAAAAGAAGAAATGTTTAAAAATAATGACCTTGGTATTTTTAAGGAGCAAAAAAAGATAAGCATATTATACAAAATTCAGTAGAAGTAAGGCAGTAATAATGATAAGAGCAGAAATTAATGAACTAGAAAGCAGGCAAATGAAAGAAATAATAAAAAGTAATAAAAAGTTAGTTTTTAAAAGTAGCAATTAAATTGGTAAACTTTCTGCTAGACTGATTAAGGAAGAAGTAAGAAAAAAACAATTTAACAAAACTGATACCATGAAAAATTAGAAAATCTGAACAACGTTATATTGGTTGAATAAATCAAATTAATTATTAGAAATAACTTCTCACAGAAAACTCTGGGCTCACATTACTTCACTGATGAATTCTATCAAATATTGAAGAAATAATATTATATTTTTTTCAGAAAATACAGATGAAAGAAGGAATATTGCTAAACTTATTATGCCAATATAATTCTGAAATAAAACCACATAAAAATGACAAAATATAGTGCATTGATTCTAGCTATATATAGAAAAGATAATGACAGCCAGGCATGGGTGGTCATGCCTGTAATCATAGCACTGCAGGAGGCTGAAGTGGGAGGATTCCTTGAGGCCAGGAGTTCAAAATCAGCCTGGGCAACAGAAGGAGACCTCATCTGTATAAAAAATTAAAAAGGCTCGGTGCGGTGGCTCACGCCTGTAATCCCAGCACTTTGGGAGGCCAAGGTGGACGGATCATCTGAGGTCAGGCATTCGAGATCAGGCTGACCAACTTGGTGAAACTCCAACTCTACTAAAAAGACAAAAAATTAGCAGAGCATGGTGGCACACACATGTAATCCCAGCTACTTGGAAGGCTGAGACAGGAGAATTGCTTGAGCCCAGGAGGCGGAGGTTGCAGTGAGCTGAGATCACGCCATTGCACTCCAGCCTGGGTAACAACAGCGAAACTATCTAAAAAAAAAAAAAAATTAAAAATTAAAAATTAAAAAAAAATTCAGGCATGGTGGCACACACCTGTAGTCCCAGCTACTCAGGAGGCTGAGGCAGAGAAATTGCTTGAGTCCAGGAGTTTGAGGTTACAATGAGCTGTGATCATGCTACTGCACTCCAGCATAGGCAAGTGAGCAAAACATTGTCTCTAAAAAAACAAAAAACTTTAAAGAAGATAATGAAACTTTATTAAGTAGGGTTTAACCCTGGGATGCAAACGTTTTAAACATCTGAAAATCAATCAATGTAATTTATCACTGGGAAAATAAAAAATAACCCATAAGATTATGTCAAAAAGAAAATTTATTTTAAAAACTCAGTACTCATTCATGATTTTTAAAAGACAAAAAACAAAAACACATACTCTTTTGTTTTTCGTGTTTTTGTTTGTTTTGTTTTGTTTTTGAGATGGAGTCTTGCTCTGTCACCCAGGCTGGAGTGCAGTGATGCAATCTCAGCTCACTACAGCCTCTGCCTCCCGAGTAGCTGGGATTACAGGCACCTGCCACCATACCCAGCTAATTTTTGTATTTTTAGTGGAGATGCGGTTTTGCCATGTTGGCCAGGCTGGTCTTGAACTCCTGACATCAGGTGATCTGCTTTACTTGGCCTCCCAAACTGCTGGGATTACTGGCGTGAGCCACCGCGCCCAGCCTAAAAACTCATACTCTTAGAAATCTAAGAATAGAAAAAAAAAAATCAACCTAATAAACTTCATTAATTAAAAATCTAGAGCTAATATCTTAATTAGCTTTGAAAAGACAAACCAAATTAGTCTGAAACAAAGTGCAAAGAAGATAGAAACATAAAACTGTTAAGACAGGAAGACCTCTTATTTTAAAAGTAAGTTCAAACCAAGTAAATCTGAGCACCATTTGAATCTTTGATACTCAGACTTGCTATGAAACCTTAGGATCCTTCTACATTTAGATAAGTTGCTGAGCTATCTTTTGTTATCTGCATCACTATGATGTTAACTCTCATCATTTATTATCTAAAATAAGTAGTTAATACATTCAGCTAGTGATGGATACTTGTACATCAGTGCTTTTAAAAAAAGATGCTTTAAATACTCTGAAAAATGACATTTTCAGGTTGGAAATACATTTCCAACTACAGGCACATCTAAAATATAAGGATACACATCCATTAAAAATAAAAGTGAAAATATTTATTCCATACAAACAGTAATCAAGAGACTGTATTAGTAAAATTTAAAATATTAGAAAAAACCTGAAGCATAATTTTTAGAGATACATTTCTGAGAGGTAAAATTATAAATACAAACAAAGAATTTATTTCCATAAAAGTCGGAATGTTGGTTACCTTTGGTGGGGGATAGGGTCACGTAGAAAATATATAAGGTGCTACGTGCTACAAATGCTCCATTTTGGCCTGAATCTTGATTATATAGGTGCATTTTTCTATATGTAGTATTTGTGTTATATTTTACAATAAAAATGTTACAGAAAAGATGCGGGTGTTAGGATTCATATTATGCCCTCATTTGACTCATGAATTTTGACCATTTGTATGACAGATGAACTATGGAGTGTGCAATGATAATAAAGTTAGTCAATTAGTAGTTTCCTTGCTGAAACAAATCAGTGTAGCCCCTCATACAATATCTAAGCAGCATCAACTCCCTGGCAATCTGTCATGATATTCTCACAGTCCCATGAGATACGATGCTGGCTCACTATGGGGCTGAAGTTTTGTATGCTCAGAACCTGCGTCCAATATGTGTACTGCTTCTCCCATAGCCAGAACACACAGGTAAAGACTCAAGAGGTGGAAACAGGAGTAGCTCTTTTCCATTTTGGGGCTAAAATTCTTGCTTTTCTTACAACCTGGGCTTTACTGGTTTACAATTTTAGTTTCCGTATGTCTTAGTTGGTTTGGCCTGCTATAAAAAAAGTACCATAGACTAGGTGGCTTGTAAGCAACAGAAATTTATTTCTCACAGTTCTATATTCTGGAAATCTGAGATAAAGGTGCCAGTGCTATCTGGTTTGAGTGAGGGCCATCTGTCAAGCTGCAGACTGCTGACTGCTCGTTGTTATCTCACACAATAGAGAGAGGGCTAGAGCATTCTCTGTGGTCTCTTTTATGATGGCACAAATTACACTGATGAAGACTTCACCCTCATGACGCAATTTTACCTCCCGAAGCTCCCATCTCCTAATATCATCACATCGGTGGTAAGTATTTAAACATATCAATTTGGACAAACAGTCCATAAAACCATGTATTGAGTATTTTATTGAGTAGTCACAGTAATAGTCCCTCTGAACTGGAATTTAAAATTGCTATTTGTCATTTGGGAATCCTCATAATATTGAAATAGATGATGAAAGAGATTAATCTACCAGCTGGGTGATTGATCTTGCTAGTAAAGATTATAACATCTGTTTTCTAAAAAAATTATTGGCATAAATAAGTGAAAAATATAATTTGATTTGATCCCTTTTTTTGATTTTCTGAAATCCAGGTGAGATTTTCCTTGTCACTTCACCCTCAACACTTCTCATGGTTGTTTAAGCTGCTGATTCACTGTCATAAGTCCCTTACTCATTACATGCCTAAAGTCGCTGCTGACTAACAAGCCTTATTTAGCCTTGGAGTTAGGTAAGTAATTACAATATGAGTTATACTACAGATAAAAATAATTCCACAGTCACTGCCCATACTCTCTGTTTTTCACTGCATGTTCACATTTGTTTAATGCCTTGTGAAGTAACAAGTTCTATTTTCAACCTTATCAGAGAAGGAATCTGGACTACATTCAGAAAACCCAACTAGCGGTAGCTACAGCATCATAGAAATTCCTTTTGCTTATGTTATAACTTTTAAGATGGGTTGGCCTAAGATTTGTTCAAAAATTCAAACATATCATCATCAATATCTAGGCTGTCTCTTATCTGTCAGTACTGGCATCCTTGGTTATTGTCCTCAGATATGACACCACACATCACCAGATAGCCATCGTAACCCTTTACATTGCATTCACAAATAAGAGAAGAAAAGTCGCAGGTATTTGGCCAACAATATCTCATTCTATGTCTGTCCCTTTAATAAATGGCATCATGCATACTACCCTTAAAAATCCACAATAATCTAAGTAAGATTCACCACATCCCGTTTTATAAGTGAGTAAATTGAAGATGGAAAAGAGACAAGCAAAGAAGTGATGGAGCCAGTATTTGATGGCAAAACCTATGTACATTGCAGTAAAATTATATAAAATGTTAATGAATGGCCATCGATATAATAAATGTAGTATGCAATAAGGGTAGAACAATTTGGTAGACATATAATATTAGGAATTGGGGAATAAAACTAGAATGGAGGCATAGATATGGAAAAAGTACATGAATGATGGCTGGAAATTCTATGTAAAGAAATTTCCATCTTCATTGTTACTACACTCCATCTGTGCAATAGTCTTTGTTTCCCAAGGTTGTACTGGAGGGACAAGAGCTGATTAGAGTTTCCTGTGTTTCAAATATTTGGTTTTTGAGTTGTCCTGAATCTACCATCCGTGTGTTTTTCTTGTCTTTCTTAAAAATACTTATTATAAATCATTTCCATGAATGACAAGCGAAAGTTAAGAAAAGAGGACTTACCGAGTCAAGATTAGTCTCAGAATAACTCCAACATCTGTTCAAGTGGGGCCATATGATAGTGGTTGAGGATGATGTCTGGAGATAAAATCCAGCCAAGCATTTTATGGCCCAGATTTAGAAAACAAAGGCAGTAGGTCTGAAAGTACGGCATTCAGTTCATAGATGGGAAATACAAACATGCTGGAGATACAGAGGTAGTGGAGAGGGAAGGGTCAGCATCCCTCTGTTTTTCTGTAATAGGTTAAAGATCTTACTCTCTTCTTCCATTCTCCCACACGCTAAAGGCAAGAAAACAAATTTTTAATACCCCAAACTACAGGCCACATGGGATGACTAAACAGAAGTTCAGAAAATTCTTCTTTTTCACCCGAGGCCATTCGTGCTCCTTTTCTGCCTTCACTTTCCAGTCACTTTAACTGTATTCCTTGGTTTCCCCTTTTTCTTTTGCCCTTTTAGCACCTGCAGTTTCATATCCAGACTTCCCTTGGGAAGTTCATTTAGAAATCCAAGATGGAATTTGTTGGCCACAGTTGCTGTCCACATAGCCCTTGGGTCAGAATCTGTGACCCTGGTTCCTCCTGTTGTGACTCCACAGCCATTCTCCCCCTACCCCAAGGTAATTCCTACATTTCTAGAAGCAGTTTACACTTCATTCTCTGGCCTTACTTACATACATTCATGTGGCTGAAGCTGAGATCCATCTTTCTTTTTATACCTTGTGTCACAATGACCCCTTCAAAGAAAAGCTCAGTATTAATATTGCCAGAGATACAACTTCCAATTGCTGCCTTGCCTCTTGTTTTGCCAGTTTGTCCTCTGATTCTCATGTCATTGCCATTCTAAATTCTACATGAATTTTCCACTTACCTTCTAACACAATAACATAAGCTTGGAAAAAATAATACAGATTTTGAGTGGCTGCAGTGCAAAATGGAAAGAGAATATAAGGTGGTGGCTAAGGGTATGGGATCTAGAACCAGACCACATTATTTTTTATTTATTATGTGAGGTTGGGAGTTATAATCTCTCTTTTGTATTTTATCTTCCACATTTGAAAATAAGGTTAATAGCATTATCTACTTTGTAAGGCATTTATGAAGATTCGATGAATTAATCTTTTTATAATGCATAAAAGCACATGGTAAGTCTTATACAAGTATTTACTCAAATAAATGAAATAAAATTATATCAATGACAAAAATATCTGTGTCTGTCTTACTCAACTACAGTAATAGATCGCATCCTTTAGAGAAAGGAGTTTCCCTGAAGGAAATTAAACAGTCTATTAGAATTAATCTTTAGAAAATGATAATCTTGGGGCAATACATGAAGCATTGGGGTTAGAGTCTTTGCATGAAGTAGAAAGAGAACTCTCAGGACAAAATATTTCTCTGTTTTTTTCTAGCATTATCAATAAGAGAGAAAATTGTTTTTTTAGAAGTGGGATCTCATCAGGTCCTGTCCAGTTTAAGGGTAGATTGAAGTGAGAGAACAAGATAGTCTTATAAAAGACACTTAGCTTGGGCTGTGGTTTTCTCTATCCTTACTACACCGAGGAAAGTCTGTGGACTAGAAGCATCATCTGGGAGCTTATTAGAAATGTAATATGTTGGGAGTCAACCCAGCCCTATCAAATCAAAATTGTTAATAGTGGGTTCTAGGAATCTTTGTTATAATAAGCTCTCCAGAGGATTCTTATGCATGCAAGAGGTGGGGAATGAACACTCTTCATTATATTCTTCATTGGACTATAAGAATATACTCATTAAAAGTTATATCCACAGATCAGCTTGTGCTTTGGAGAATTAGGAGAGAATTCATGATTGTATTGAGGACTGCAGAAGAGAACGGAGTGCTCCTCTAGGTTCAGATGGGAGAATAGAAATGGCAGAGAGAATTTGCTGTGACTAAGGCTATTGTTGGCTGACAACAAAAATATCAAATGCGGGGAAAATGGGAAAACTCCAGAACAGCCTGAAAGATTTTTCTTCCTGAACACATAAGAGGCCAGAGCTTTAAAAACTCTCACAGATTACTGGGGTAAGAATTGGTGATGGAATTATTTTTGATAAGTAACCTGTCTGAGGCTTAGTACTTATAGCTTGTGTATGGAAAAATAATGGGACCATTTTATTTTTCTCATTGAAGAATGAGGCCGGCTATAGACAGCATCTGTCTGGCCCAGATTCCAGGCCAAACATTAGCTCAAGAAAGCATAAATCAAGGACTTTTAACTAACACTGTATCTACTCAACTTTCGTGTCAATCTTATGCTCCCATTCTGCTGGTGTCATTGAGGTCTCATTGACCTTTTTTGTGTTCATTCTCCATACCAATAAATTGCTCCAGTGATTTATTTTCAGTACCTCCATAATTCTTGCTATTCTCCTTCAAAAATACTATGTTCTCCACCATGTAGTAAAATCCCTGTTAATATCTGAGAGACTTTCCTCAATTCCAAATGTCTTTTGGATTTCTGATTTTAAAATAGTCCTGGCTGCCCATCACTGACATGAGATACCAGTTTGTGCTTGTCTGCCAGAGACCACACTGTCTCTGGTTTGATCCTTCCAATTTTCTCAACCCCAATTCCCTTCCTGCTTAAATGTACACTATCCCATTTAGAAAGTATTGTGCCCTATGTGTGGATCTCCCTTCCATGAGTTTGCCTCCAATGCCAAAGCACAAGTAAAAAATAGTTTCTTTTGAAGGCACTGCTCCCATGACTATCAAATCATCCCAGTATAGCAAGAGCTATCTGCTCCTCCCCATGACAACAATAAGATTATGCTTTAGAGAATGCAGAAACTACATATGTATTAGCATTAACTGTCTTTTTGTTATTCCATAACACTTAAATGAGGAATGTGAGTACCCCATCACATCTGATATCCTATATGCATGTGAATATGTGTGTGTGTGTAATGTTTTTCTTCTTTATAATACTGATATTTAATTTAAATTAATGGAAAATACCTCACCATTTGGAAATAGCATGGTATTTTTAATACAGTATAGATTTAAAACTTAGCTTATTATGTTGTAGCTATGTGACATCAGGATGTCAATTTACTGCTCTAAGCTTCTTCTATGAAATAGTCATAAGAAATACCTTTAAAGAGTGACATTAAGATGGAATTGGGTAGTATATGTCAAGTTATTGTCTCATGGAAGAGTCTGTAAAATGATTACCCACCTCAACACTATCATCAATATTTGCTAAGTTGTATGAAAGACCTATTTATCACACACAAGATGATGCTTTCTTACATTAATTTTAATACATAATGTATTCAATATATATTAATACATTAATGCTATATATGTGTGTAAAACATATTTTCTATCCATTTTTACAATATTCCTCCTAGCCACTTGAGTTAGAATCTATAATTATTTCTATTTTAAATAATTTTTTATTGCATAGGGACAACATTACTTTTCCAAGTTACACAGGTAAATGCTGGTGGAGAAAACATGGAAGCTCAGATATGACTGACATCAATGCCTGTGTTAATACTGGTTAATGAATAAATGCTAAGAGATTAAAAACAAAAGAAAAAGAAAATATGAAAATTAAAAGGGTAATGGGAAAAAGTAAGGGAAGTGCTCATCTCTTATTAAAGGAACTCAATCCATTAAAAAGTGTTACAGTAGTAGTATGAATGTTATTATTTCATTTTATATGTGCTCAATATGCATGGGTATATGTAATTCCTGGCTCAAACTGAGTACCAAAAAAAAAAAAACAAAACTCATTTCTAAAAGGCACTTAGTAATTCATAAGTAAGTCTGCTATCTTGTGGTAAAATTGCATCTTAATATAAAACTTCAAAAATTAATCAGCCAATTGAACACATTAAGCTTTTGCAAAGGCTTTTATTGGCTCCTATATATAACTTAGAATTTAAGTCATATAAAATGCACTGAGAGAATGCAATGAATATAATAAGGCAGCATGTGACTTTATTTAAAAGTCAATTAAAAAATCGGAAGTCTTAAAATATGATAATACAAGTTGCATTAAAATATAACAATAGTATTTGCTCATGAATAAGTAAAAATGTCTTGATATAAAATAGAAATGAATTTGTTTTTCTTATGATATGGTATAGTTAGGATATGTGTCCCCTCTAAATCTCATGTTGAAATGTAATCCCCAATGCTGGAGGTTGGGCTGGGTGGGGGGTGATTGGATCATGTGGAGGATCCCTTATGTCCTGGTGCTGTCCTGAATGAGTGAGTTCTCTCAAGATCTGGTTGTTTAAAAGTGCATTGCACCTCCCCCTACTTTCCCTCTTGCTCCCACTCTGGCCATGTGCCATGTGATGTGCCTGCTCCCACTTCACCTTTAACCATAAGTAAGAGCTACCTGAGGTCTTCCCAGAAGCCAAGCAGATGCCAGCACCATGTTTCCTGTACAGCCTGTAGAATGATGAGCCAATTCAATCTCTTTTCTTTATAAATTACTCACACTCAGATATTTCTTGACAGCAATCAAGAATGGCCTAACACGTGGCGCATCAGAATTTATACTACAAAACTACTTTCAAAGAAGACAACTACTTATAAGTAATATTTACAAAGGATTATTTGGGTCATGAGTGCTATAAGTAAATATAATTTCAAACAACAAATATTGAATAATGTTTACTGAAAGTTTATTTTTACTTACTTTTTTCATTCAAAATAAGCAAGTTACTTTTAACTTAATATGAAGATTTAATCTTTGTTATTTGTCATGTTAGCTGTCAGATCTTTGAGTTATTCAATTACATAGCGAAAATACTTAGTTAATAAAAGTTTAATACAATTTAAGTTTCCCAAGACTATTAAATCTCACATCTGTAATGTATCAAAAAGCACATGTCATTGTTAGATATTCAAAGGTAATCTGCAGGTATTGTACAATAATAATAAATGTAAATCTCTGTAGGCATGAAAGGTTATACAAAAATCAGGTAGAACATTTTATGTCAAGATGTCCAAAGTTTATCTTAACACAGCAGTTTCTGTGCAACTAATATAATATCCAAAAAAATGAATTAAGCACACATAACATATAGGCACTTGTTTCTAATAATGGGTGCTAGAAAGCTTAGCTAGATAAAATAGAAATGTGCTAAATGTGTGCACTTGGTTGATTTAAATATTTGGCATATGTCTCTACTGTAGTTTTTATGGCATATTGGAAGATGAACTTGGTTGTTTAAGTACAAATATGGGTTGGCCATGACAAAATAGAAATTTGATAAATTATACTGAATGCTGTTAAGGTATAATGAAGTTCAATCTACTTAAAACAGATGAAGATTTTCTCACAAATTAACACTTCTTTAAAAAATATCTGTTCATTCTTCTTATAAGACATTTACTTTCCTTAAGGATAGATGGTTTTGACTAAATTGATACATATTGGGTTGCTTAAAAATTAAATTTTGATTCTAGGAATGATATACAAGAATTTCAAAATATTACATATGACATACTCAAATGATCAACAAATAAGCAGTAACATTCATTCCTAATAAAAATTTTGTAAGGATTGACAATATGTTACTTAAATATGATTGACATGGTAGTGAACTAAATTACTCAATTTTCAAGTTCTGGGCCTTTTTTTATGCAGAAAGTTATTGGCCATAGCCATTTGATTAGAAAAATTAACTTGGTTTTTTACCAAGTTTTGGTAAAAACTTGGAAAAATTAAAGAAGGTTTTAGTGTTATTGCAGCTTAGCAACAATGTTAAAGAGATTATAACTCATTAATATTATATATTAATTAATTAATTTTAATGTGATATGTGATTGATGTAATATTAATATTAATATTATATTACATTAATATTAATGTAATATAATGTAATTAAATGTAAATTCACTCAATCTTGTTAAAAAGAAAGCAACTGAGACAGAAGTAGAGAATGAAAAAGAAAGGGAAGGAAAGGGAATAAAAGGAGGGAGGAAGGAAGAAACACAAGGAAGAATGGGAAGGATGGAGAGGAAAGAAGAGAAAGGAAACTTTAATACTGAAAAACCATATAAATTCTAACTGGAATTTTAGATTATCATCCAACTATATAATTTAACAAAGAAAAGCACAAACACAAAAAATATTTTCTTTATCTGAAAATATCTCATAGGTGTTTGTGAAAATGTTTAAAGATTACATTAATAAAAACATGGAAGTTATGTAATGATTATAACAACAAAGTCTGTGTAACCAGGTTGTGTTTCAGCAGTAAAACCAGAGTATACATTTTGCTAAAGACGTACTCTTTGGAACTTCTTGTCTTTTCTATTTCTACTCACTTCCTAGATAATATTGTTTACTTACATGGTTTCAATAGTGTCTCTAGTCTAGTGACTCCCAGATTTTAATCTTCACCTGAATACGTGACATCTCCACTTGGAAATTTTAAAAGTTTTTCAAATTAAATACGTCTAAAGAGAATGCTTAGATTTTCATCCACTCCACATACACACTGCCTGTCATCCAAATATTCCTTTTTTTTTTTCTTTTGAGGTGGAGTCTCACTCTGTCATCAGGCTGGAGTGCAGTGGAGCGATCTCAGCTCACTGCAACCTCTGCCTCCCGGATTCAAGCGATTCTCCTGCCTCAGCCTCCGAAGTAGCTGGGACTACAGGCGTGCGCGACTACACCCGGTTAATTTTTTATTTGTTATTTTTTTGTATTTTTAGTAGAGACAGGGTTTCACCATCTTGGCCAGGATGGTCTCGATCACCTGACCTCCTGATCCACCTGCCTCGGCCTCCCAAATTGCTGGGATTACAAGCATGAGTCATCACGCCTGGCCAAATGTTCATTTTTAAATCATTCTTTTTCTTAGTTTTTGACACTATTCACTGAATTGCTTAGATTAAAAACCTTGGGGATTCTCACTATTTCTTTATTTTTATCATATTCATATCCAATTTATTTGTAACTTCTTTCAAGTCTAGCTTCAAAATCTATCTCAAATCAAATGACTTATCACCTCCATCACAATCATACATAAACCAAACTAGCAAGTTCCAGTGTTCTGCCAAACTACTGCACAAGCTTTTTTGCTAGTCTTTGTCTCCTAAAATCTATACATCTAACAACAATCAATAAATCTAATTTTATCTCTTTAGTTAAACTGTGTATTAACTTCTTGCAATATTCAAAATAAAATTAAAATCAGAAATAATGCGTATCAGCCTTACTAATCTCATAGGTAATTTTCCAAATTTATTTTTCCTACTCAGTTATAACCAAAATAAATTTATTTATGTTCTCAACTTCTCTAGTTTGTTCTTCTCTTAGAAACTCTACATGTGTTGATCCCTGTTCTGAGAAGGCATTTCTACCAAATATTCACAAACATAACACTCTTATTTTACTCTGGTTTCTGCCTACATGTGACTTCTTCAAAAAGCCTATCTTGAACAACCCATGTAAAAAAAAAAAGTGGTTCCTCACTGTTTATCCATTTACACTGCTTAATGTGTCATTTCTTTTAATGTTGACTTTTTTGTGTGCTTTAATTTGTTATTGTACATACATCTCTCTCAATAAAACGTGAACTCTGGAAAAACAGGAAATTTTCTTATCCTTACTGTACATCTGGTACCTAAAAGAAAGGCTCATAAATATTTAGGATTCATAAACACTTGCTGTTGTATATTGTAATTAATATATTTTAGTCTACCCAAAACTCAAATAAAAGTAAGAAAATAATATGGACATTTATTATACCCATAAAGAGTTCAAAAATCATAACTCATACCTGACATTAACTTTTATATTAATGGGGAAACTTGTCATTTTTGTTTTCAAAAGATAATTGTTGCTTTGGATTACATGGTTAATCATTTTGGAGGGTTTTGCTAATAGGAAGCACATACAGAAATAAAGTTAATCTAACAATCATTTCAATAATCATAATGAGAAAGAGCATTACTCATTGATTTAAGAATACTTTATTCAATGTCTCTTATGTTTCAGACACTGTTCTAGGTGGTAGGACACAGTAGGGATCACCACACAACAATTTGCCTTAAGAATGTTATGTACTATTGAAAGGAAACAGACAAACAAACCCGATTAAAATGAACATATCTAGTTTGCTAGAAAGTGATAGAGCTATGGAGAAAAACCTAAATTGCAATATATGCAGATCCTGAAGAGCAGCTTCATGAGATTGAATTGTTAGGCTTCTGAAAAATTACTGTTCCAATTGTCAAATAAGTGTTCAGTGTTATACGGGTCTAATTCTTAACTATTACACAGAACAGTTAACCGAATTAAATTTCAAAAGGCAGTGCCAGAGATTGGTTCATTCTGGGAAGTACCATTTTCTGAATGCATCATTAGGGAGTATGTACATCAGGACTCACTACTTAACTTCCAAGGAATCAAATTCAGATGAGAAGACACTGGGACTCCTAGAGCTTGCTGGCTTTGAGCCACCTAACCTAATCAGCTTCACCAGAATGGTAAATTATAATGGCTATGAGTAGTAGAGTAAACTGAAATTAGCGAATTAATAGACAATAAAGTGATTTATCTCTCCTCTTTAAACAGATAAATTGACAGAAATATCATGAAAAATTACTTTTAGTCTCACACTTTTGTCGTAGCTTTTGGGAGTGATAAAAACATTTCCTCGGAATGTTATTTCAATGTTTTTACTTTTGCAGCAATACAGCAACCAAAATACCTATTGTTTGGCATTGCTGTACTTAGAACTAATAGATAGGTATACCTGACAAAGCACCATTTCAAAGTAAACCACATTAGACTTCTGTTAATCTTTGTCACATAAACAGGTCTTGTGGTACTTGGGGTTTACTGTACAATTCTGAAGATTTTTGCTCAATATATCTTCCATGTATTTTAGTTTTCAAGCAAATATGAGATACGAATTTTTGTGTCCGCTCTGATTTCCTTGAGGAGTGGTTTGTAGTTCTCTTTGAAGAGGTCCTTCACATCCCTTGTTAGCTGTATTCCCAGGTATTTTATTATCTTTGTAGCAAAAAGAAACTATCATCAGAGTGAACAGACAATCCACAGAATGGGAGAAAATGTTTGCAACCTATCCATCTGACAAAGATGTACTATCCAGCTTCTACAAGGAACTTAAGCAAATTTACAAGAAAAAAATAAACAACCCCATTGAAAAGTAGGCAAAGGACATGAACAGACAATTCTGAAAAGAAGACATTAATGCAGCCAACAAAAATATGAAAAAACCTCAACATCTCTAATCATTAGAGAAATGCAAATCAAAACCACAATGAGGCACCATCTTGCACCAGTCAGAATGGCAATTATTAAAAAGTCAAGAAACAACAGATGCTAGTGAGGTTGCAGAGAAAAAGGAATGCTTATACACTGTTGGTGTGAGTGTAAATTAGTTCAAACATTTTGGAAGGCAGTGTGGTGATTCCTCAAAAATCTAGAACCAGAAATACCATTGACCCAACAATCCCATTATGGGGTATATACCCAAAGGAATGTAAATCATTCCCTTATAAAGATACATGCACATGTATGTTCACTTCAGCACTATTAACAAGAGCAAAGACATGGAATCAATCCAAATGCCCACCAAAAAATAGACTGGATAAAGAAAATGTGGTACATATGCATCATGGAATACTATGCAGCCACAAAAAGGAATGAGATCATGTCCTCTGCAGGGACATGGATGGAGCTTGAAGTTCTTATCCTCAGCAAACTAACACAGGAACAAAAAAACAAACACTGCATGTTCTAACTTATAAGTGGGAGCTGAACAATGAGAACACATGGACACATACGGGATACGGGGGGAACAGTACACACTTGGGCCTTTTGGGGACAGTAGGGGTAAGGAGAGCATCAGGAAAAATGGCTGATGGATGCTGTGCTTAATACCTACCTGATGGGTTGATCTGTGCAGCAAACCACTATGGCACACCTTTACCTATGTAACAAATCTGCAAATCCTGCACATGTACCCCAGAACTTAAAATAAAAGTTAAACAGTAAAACAACAACAACAAAAAATTTTAAGTTATTATCACATTCTGTTTGGTAGTCAGGTAGAACACCAGAGCATGGATTGTTGACAAGATTCACACACACAGTAATTCGGTATGGTGAGATTTGAAAATGCTGTTTTGTAGTGGATTTTGATTATCTTATTTTGTAAGGGTAATGATATCTACATTAAAAAGAAGAAGAGGCGTTTACTACTAAAAGCAGAGAAGCCCCTCACTGGAGCTCGAGGACAAGGGGCTGTGGTTTTCCACTGGGCTTCTGAGATTGTACCTGAATGCAGGGCACCCTAGAAGACACTTCTAGAAATTACTGGTCATTTATGATTTTGTGCATCCTCTCAATTGGTTTGGCTACTCTGGCCTAATAACCCGTTACGGTTTAGTAGAATTTTGCATTATGTCTTAATAAAAATTTCCAAGACAGAGCTTGTCTGTGGTTATACAGAGATTTTTTAAGCAATCTTTTTCAAAAGCTACCAGCCAGTCTAATACCTGCAATCCACAGGTTCAGAGTGAATGAAGCCCAGTGGAAATCCACCATGACTTGTCCTTAAGCTCCAGTGAGGGACTTGCCTGCCTTTGGTAATAAACACCTCAAAAAAAAAAAAAAAAGGAGAAAAGAAAAAGAAAATATTTGTTATTAAACATAATACCTACCCTGTGTCGAAACTATACAAAGCCTATTTTAATAAAAATCCCAAAACAGTAAAAATGATAGAAATATCCTTACTTAAAAAATTAAAGAAAACAAGATTAAGAAAAGTTAAGTGTTTTGTCTAACATTTAAAAACTAGTAATTGGTAGTGTTTTATTAAGTCCTGACGCTGATTATCTATACTACAGAACCTGCCTCTCTGTTTAGATACTATGTACTCAATTATTTCTCTTGAGCATCCTGCAGTTCTGATTATTTCTGAAATTTGAAAGAATGATGAATAAGAAAACATGCTTTATGATGTAATTTATATCTAAAAGAAACTAAAAAATATTAGCCTGTGTTAAAGCAAATATACTTAAAAATATATGACAGACTAATAATAAAGAACCTAAATGATACCAATTATTCTTAATTATATTTGATTTCTGTTGCATCTTTTATATAAGGAATAATGAAGAATGAAGTTTATATAAGGAAGAATGAAATATGCAACAGAAATCATAACTGACATAATACAAATAATTGATTGGTGTAATAATTTAAACTGCCACTCAGTACATCATTTGGAACCAAAATTAGTCTTAACCATTTAAATTAATGGGCCAAAGAAGAAGTCATGTCAGAAAATCACTAATGTATTGATTTACCTGGAGATATTCTTACATTATATATGGTGAAATATACATTCACGTATTATAATAAGAATTATTATAGTATTTATCAAAATAATAGCTACTCACTAAAGAGAGAATTACTATATGTTCATTGAATTTTAACTGATTTTTCTTCTGGTTAATTAAAGAGGAGCCTCAAATTTAAATAAAGTTATCTTCAACTGCAGAAGGATGTTAAAATATTCTCACTGAGACCAATATTTAATATAAAATGGAAGAGCCAACCTCAATGGAATTCAGCAGGTTTTCCTAACCAATACCATATCTTCTAGCTATTATGGTGCCTTAAAATTTTCACTCAATAATATCTTTGTGTATTGAAAGCCTACCCCTTTAGTCTTTACTAGGAGACAGTTATGGCCAAAATCTAGTAAATAATGCTAACTAGATGTGCCATCTAGTAAAAAGATGGCACAACTCACCCTTTATAGCCTGCTCTCCCTACAATGCCAATCTGGAGCTACAAACTTTATACAAAATTTATATATTTAATTATTCAAAACAAAACCTCCTGTTGATTCCTCAGTTCCACTGAAAGGGAGATTCTGTTATTGATAAATTACTTCAATTTAAATGCAATTAAATAAAAATTATCAATGGCCTGTGTAGAGATCAACTTCTGACTGGTGTTAAAAATAATTCACGGTGATCAGTACATTATAAAACCTAAGATACAAATCATACATAGAATTTTAAAAAATTATATGTGTTTCAATTTTTGCATTGACTTGGCATAATTAGAGTTATAAAGTTAATCTGACGTTACAAAAGTATGTATAATGGTCACTCACTACACTTCCAGTTCTTTTATATGTTTTTCTTTAGATTTTTTTTCTAAATATTTAGTCCTTTTCTTTCCAAAAGAAATCAGATGGTGTAATATTCAATTCCAATTGACCATATTGCAATGTATATTTAATTCTTTAAATCCTGTTTAAAAACAAGATTTAAATAGGGGATTAAAGAATCAAGAAAGGGGAAATCTCAAGTATATTAAAACTCAGAAAAGGTATAAGATGATTTAATTAAGCAAATAAAAACATGATGAAATGTTATATCAAATACCTGTATAGGGCAGGCACAATGGCTCACCACTGTAATACCCGCATTTTGGGAAGCAGAGGCTGGCAGAATGTCTGAGGTAGAAGCTCAAGACCAGCTTAGGCAATATGAGAAAACCCTGTCTGTATAAAAAATACAAACATTAGCTGGGCATGGTGGGGCATGCCTGTGATCCCAGCTACTGGTTACTCTGGAGGCGGAGGTAGGACGATCACCTGAACCCAGGACGTCAAGGCTGTAGTAAGCTGTAGTAATGGTGCCACTGCACTCCAGCCTGGGAGACAGTGAAACCCTGTCCCAAAAACAAGCAAATAAACAAAAATATTTGCATAGAGTCTGATCTGAATCATATTATTTAGGCATACTTTACACAAAAACAAAAGTGTTCTATATTTTATAGGTGAAGTATCTATTTTTCATTTGCAGCTCTCTTAACTATAGGGATATCATTGTAGGAAATTTAGATTAATTTTCAACATATGTATAATTTGTAAAATAATATGCGTATTTTAATCATCAATATTCAGAACTTTTCACCCATGTACAACATATCTGTTGCCTTAACTACATAAATGACCTTAAATGCCACCTAAGAAAAATGTATACAGTTTTTATGTAGTTTCAATTCACATGGTAGTAAAACAATTTGTTTTCTGTGTTTCTGTATTGAATTATGCAAATAGGATACAATACAATTTTTAAATCTTTAAGATTTTTTAGAAATACTGGAAAGAAGAAATTGTTATATACTATATCTAGACAAAAGATTCACCAGAAGTATTTTGTTGAACTCTAGCTCTGTGTAATAATAAGTGTTGTGTAGTAAAGGCAACCTTAGTGAAATAAGTTTGAAAAATTAGTCCTCACAATAAGTCATCCTTCTTGAGGCAAAATTAAGGCTTGCAGAAGCCTGGAGATAAATCAATTAAATACATAATTCAACAACAACAACAACAACAAGAAATGTTATATTTAGTCCAAAAGGGTTTTTTCCCTCAATGCAACTGCATTTTTGAAAACACCATGTAAGAATCGATTAAGATTATTGAATAAATTAACTTTTATGTTGTAGAAAATGAAAACCTGATTTTCATATCTGTGGGAAAGACCATATCATGATACAGTGAAAAAAGTGAAATATTACAAAATAACAGTATCAGAGCAAAGTACTACATTGGTCAGATTGCTGAATATATATATATATATAAAGTAATATAATTAAGAATAAATGGTGTCATTTAGCTTCTTAATTATTATTAGTGTGTCATATTTTAAGGTATATTTGCTTTAACACAGGATAAATATGTTTTAGTTATGAATTACATCATAAACTACTTGTTTCTTATCCATGATTCTTTCAAACTTTAGAAATATTCAGAACTGTGAGATGTTCAAGAGAAATAATTGAGTATGTAATACCTAAATAGAGAGTCAGTAGTGTAGATAATCAGCTTCAGGACATAATAAAACACTACCAATTACTAGTTTTTGAACATTAGACACACCACTTAACTTTCCTTAATCTCTGTTTCTTTAACTTTTAAATAGGGATATTTCTATCATTTTTACTGTTTTGGGATTTAAGTTATTAAAATAGGTTTAATATAGTTTCAATACAGGGTAGGTATTATGTTTAATAACTGCAAATATTTTCTTTTTCTTCTTTTTTTTAAGACAGGGTCTCACTCTGTCACCTAGGCTGGAGTGCAGTGGTGCAGTCCTGGTTCATTATAGCTTCAGCCTGCTAGGCTCAAGCGATGCTCCTCCCTTAGCCTCCAAGGACCTGGGACCACAGGCCACAAATATTTTCTGATGCATTTGTACCTTTTATAACACAGATTTTTCATAACACTGTCATTTAATTTTACTTACTTTCTATAATCACAAATTAAATCCTTCATTAGACTAGACAGTAAATTAACTTGAAATATACAAGGAAAATAATTATGAGGTCAATAACAATAAACTAATATTTTGTGATAATATTCACACTTAGATCTGTACTCTCAAAAATGATTGTATATTTATCCTTTAAGGGTAAAAAACATGCTATTATTCTTTTCACTGCTATCAAACTGTCTGACTCCTATCTTGCCCTGAGAAGGGAAAATAAGGAGAAGGTAGGGGGTGTGCAATCCAAATGTCACAAACTTGGATACTATTTAATAATTTACTTAATCACTTACTTACTGTTCTAAGATGACAGTGAGAGATAGGACTACCTGGATTTCCTAGGCCAACTAAGAATCCCTAAACCTAGCTGGGAAGGTGACCACATCCACCTTTAAACACGGGGCTTGCAACTTAGCTCACACCTGACCAATCAGGTAGTAAAGAGAGCTCACTAAAATGCTAATTAGGCAAAAACAGGAGGTAAAGAAATAGCCAATCATCTATCGCCTGAGAGCACAGCAGAGGGAAAATGATCAGGATATAAACCCAGGCATTCTAGCCGGCAATGGCTACCCTTTTTGTGTCCCCTCTCTTTGTGTGGGAGCTCCCTTTTTGGGTCCCCTCCCTTTGTATGGGAGCTCTGTTTTCACTCTATTAAATCTTGCAACTGAACTATCTTCTGGTCTGTGTTTGTTACGGCTCGAGCTGAGCTTTCGCTCGCCGTCCACCACTGCCGTTTGCCGCCGTTGTAGACCCACTGCTAACTTCCATCCCTCTGGATCCGGCAGGGTGTCTGCTGTGCTTCTGATCCAGTGACGCACCCATTGCCACTTCTGATAGGGCTAAAGGCTTGCCATTGTTCCTGCATGGCTAAGTGCCCAGGTTCGTCCTAATTGAGCTGAACACTAATCACTGGGTTCCCGTTTCTCTTCTGTGACCCACAGCTTCTAATAGAGCTATAACACTCACAGCATGGCCCCAGATTCTAATACTTGGGATCTGTGAGGCCAAGAACCCCAGGTCAGAGAACGTGAGTCTTGCCACCATCTTGGAAGCCACCCGCCATTTTGGAAGTGGCCCGCCACCATCTTGAGAGCTCTGGGAGCAAGGACCCCTGGTAACAACAGGCTCTCCTGAATATTTTCTCTTCTGAAATTGTTCTTTTTCTAGCATATTTGCAATTCTTTGTATCCCCATGTATTAATTTTCTATTGCTGAACAACAAATCACCACAAACTTAGGATCTTATAAACTTCACACATTTATTAACTCACAGTACTTGTGGGTTACCAATCTGAATATGGTCCTCTGCAAAGTCACAATCAAGATGTCAGTTCAGACCGTGTTCTCATCTGAGGGCTTGACTGACACAGGGTACAATTCCAACTCAATCAGGTTATTAGCACAATTCATTTTCTTACAGCTGAAGGATTCATGGCAGTTCTATTTCTCAAAGTCAGCAATAAAGAGAGAGAGAGGGGCAGTGGGAGGGAGGAAGAGGCTGCAGCAAGTTGGCTAGCAAAACTGAGTTCTATATAACACAGCAGAATCATAGGAGTGACATCCCATCACCTCTGCCATATTTTGTTGGTTAGAAGCAAGTCACATGTTCTGCTCCCACTCAAAGGCAGGAGATTATGCAAGAGATTAGAAATGAACACCTAGAGGTCAGCCTGTCACACCCAGTTGTCACAGAGGAGGATTTAGGAGTGACCCACATGTCTTTAGCATCTTTCGCATTTGGAGAAAACAGAATTATTTAGGCTCATTGGCAAACAATACTGAGTCATAGAGACTAAATGTCTTATCTCCCTTCCTCCAGGATCCTGATGAAATGATTTAGGTGTTTAAAATTTTACTTCCCTCTTTGAAGGATTAGAGTTCTCATAAAGAGAAAGAAGGTAATTGTGAAAAATAATACAATCTAATACTAAAGAGTACATCTATCTCAGTCCTAGGCCTGGAGAGTGGACATTCCCAACACCTCATGTAACAGTTTGTGTGTCAGTGATACTTTCTACACTAGTTATTGTCTATTGACACTCAGTCTTCACCCCCACCCCCTGATATTATCCTAGTCTCACCCTACTGCAAGGACTGAAGGGCTAAAATCTACATTTGCAGATTCTCTTTCCACTAAGGTTTGGGATGTTATTTAGGTTGTTCAAAGAAATAAGCCCAAGGTGGAAAGGCAAAGGGAGGCAAATGCTGTTTTTCCCAGGCTGCATGTCTGGTGTTCTCTTGTGCGACAGATAGGCTCTATGTTTCAATGTGTAAGAACCAGCTTTACTGGTGTAGGGCATCTGTGAAATTAGGAAAGGTTTCCTGCAGTGTCATGAGGGGTTTCAACAGCTGCTTGTTCACTTCCAGATTGCAGCAATTGCTGCATTGTCATGAACTTGAAACCTAGTGAGAGAACGCTGGCTTCAAACCTAAATCTTGCAACAATTATAATCTGTTTGAAAAGCTATAGTAGTTTTTGTTTCCTGCATTAAAACTTGCATCAGCATCTTCAGAATGCAAGTCTAGCCTGTTTAAGTCATCTATAAATTATATATTGCTTTGCCAGCTACCTGTTTATTATGAGTGAAAATGGCTATAGTGTTTCTGGCTTTTCATTGTTCAGTGAAACAAGCACTTTCTTTTTAACCTAACACCTACACAGTTAAACTTTACGTATATTTAATGTTACTTATGATTTAATATAGAATAATTTGCCACTTCCACTGTTTTACACATACATTCATACTGTGTGGATGATTTTCATAAAGAGTTAGCAAGAATTTCATATATATGAGACTTAAGAAAAGCAAACATATTGTGTATGTTAGTGATTTAATATTTTTAATAAAAAAGCTAATTTTAAAAGTCATAAACAATGTTACAATAATTTTTGCCTCAGACTGTGGCCCAAAATGGATGTAAAACCTCAAATTCATACTGCAACAAAGTGTTTAGGAAATAAAAATCTACAACATGAAAAAGTCTATTAAATTCGTTTTAATAAGAGTAGTCGAGATATACCTAATGCTAGATGACGAGTTAGTGGGTGCAGCACACCAGCATGGCACATGTATACATATGTAACTAACCTGCACAATGTGCACATGTACCCTAAAACTTAAAGTATAATAATAAATAAAAAAAAAACAAACAAAACAAAACAAAAAAAAAGAGTAGTCAGAAGACAAATGATCATATAGCACTTTCAACTAAACATAGATATATTGCAGTACGTTTAAATTTTCTGAAGAAAAATTACTTGTACAAAGGAGATTCTGAGTCAAATGACAAGGGGAAGAAAGCTGTAAGCATATAGCACCACTTATGTTATTAATCTGAATGACAGGGAAGAAGTAAAAAGGATAACAATAGATGCTGACATTGCATAGTGTGAGCCATGAATTAATTTGCTCTGACAATGACACCTTTCAAAGGACAGTTACTGGCCATAAACCACAATATTTTGCTCAGAATATAAAATACAAATATAATAAAATCATTTCTTATTATATTAAATATTACAAGATTATCTAGGGAATATTTATTTCTCTTTTATGTTTGGGAGTATATGTGACACTGTGGATAACTAGAAGTTCTAATTTCTTATTTTCTTACTGTCTCAGATTTGAAACATTTAGTTATACTGACCTACAAAAGTGATTTCATTCTAAAAAAGACTTGCCTATAAAACAATAGCTGAAGCAAATTTGTATTATTTTAAACATCTGCATTTATGAAATTGCCCTAGGGTGAAGGAAATTTCTGTATTTTTGAAACAGAATATATTTAATATAGTGAATTTAGGGACATAGGCTTCCCCATCAAAATCAAAATGCTATCATAAATAGAGAAGATAGAAATTGATTGTACATTTCATTCATTTACAAATTTACCCTAGGAGGTTTAGGTTGGCTCAGATCACCTTTTGTTTCTTTCATATCTGGCAACAAAGGTGGGGCAAATATTTAAGCTCACCTGTTTTATCAGCACATATTCAGATGGGGGAAATTTTCTTGCCTGATTATATGTATATTTGCAACAGCTTTCACAGTTACTGTGCATATTCTCATGAAGAAAGGCCTCCTTCATTTGTCTACTGCTCTGCCAGAGAGTAATATTCTCCTAACCAAAACATTTTTCCTATCCAAAAATATCACTAGCATCATCAGCAGGGTGACAGGAGATAGATCAGGAATCAAAGAAAGTAAGGGATTACATCAGCCTCAGAACACCACCACCTAATGAAATACAGTATTGATTTAAAGTGAAATTCAGCACCCACAATGACCTTAATCTTACTGAGTTTCACTTTGTTTTGTCCTAGAGAAAAAAATGAATAACAGAAAAAGTATCTGTATAGGTACTTGCAACAAGTTGGAAAATAGTGCCCCAGAAACATTTGCCATGGAGTCCCACATGAATCTGTGATTTTTTTTTTGTTAAAATATTCTAAAAAGGGTATGGACATATGATACAATTTAACTGTTTCCCCACCCAAATCTCATCTTGAACTGTAGTTCCCATAATCCCCACATGTTGTGGGAGGGACCTGGTGGAAGGTAATTGAATCAGGGAGGCCATTACCCTCTTGCTGTTTTTGTGATAGTGAGTTAGTTCTCATGAGATCTGATGGTTTTATAAGGGGCTTTTCTCCCTTTGCTTGGCACTTTTCCTTCTTGTAGCCATGTGAAGATGGACATGTTTGCTTTCCCTTGTGCCATGATTGAGGCTTCCTCAGCCTCGCAGAGGTGTGAGTCAATTAAACTTCCTTCCTTTATAAATTATCCAGTCTCCAGTATTTCTTCATAGCAGCATGAAAACAAACTAATACAGTAAATTTGTACTGGGAAGTGGGGCGCTGCTGTAAAGATACTGCAAAATGTAGAAGTAATTTTGGAACTGGGTAACAAGCAGAGGTTGGAACAGTTTGGAGGGCTCATAAGAAGAGAGAAAGTTGTGGGAAAGTTTGGAACTTCCTAGAGACTTGTTGAGTGGCTTTAACCAAAACTCTGACAGTGATAGGGACAATGAAGTTCAGGCTGAGGCGGTCTCCAACAGAGATGAGGAACTTGTTGGGAATTGAAATAAAGGTGATTCTTGCTATGCTTTAGCAAAGAGACTAGCGACATTTTGCCCCTCCCTTAAAGATCTGTGGAACTTTGAACTTGAGAACTTGAGCAATTATTTAAGGTATCTGGTGGAAGAAATTTCTTTTTTTGTTTTTTGAAACAGAGTCTTGCTCTGTCGCCAGGCTAGAGTGCAGTAGGGCAATCTCTGCTCACTGCAACCTCTGCTTCCTGAGTTCAAGTGATTCCCCTGCCTCATCCTCCCGAGTAGCTGGGACTACAGGCCTGCACCACCATGGCTGGCTAATTTTTTGTATTTTAGTGGAGATGGGGTTTCACCATGTTCGCTAGGAATGTCTTGATCTCCTGACTTCTTGATCTGCCCTCCTTGGTCTCCCAAAGTGCTGGGATTACAGGTGTGAGCCACTGAGCCCAGCTGTGGTGGAAGAAATTTCTAAGCAACAAAGTGTTTGAGAGGTAACATAGGTACTCTTAAAAACATTCAGTTTTATGTATTCACAAAGATATGGTTTGGAATTGGAACTTATGTTTAAAAGGGAAAAAAAGCTTAAAAGTCTAGAAAATTTGCTGCCTGAGGATGCAATAGAAAAGAAAAACCCATTTTCTGAGGAGAAATTCACACAGGCTGCAGAAATTTGCATAAATAATGAGGAGTAAAATGTTAATTGCCAAAACAATGGTAAAAATGTCTTCAGGACATGTCAGAGATCTTCATGGCTGCCCCTCCCATCACAAGTCTGGAGGTCCAGGAGAAAAAAAAAAAATGGTTTCCTGGACTGGGTCCAGGGCCTTGCTGTTCTGTGCAGCCTCAGGACTTGTTGCCCTGCCTCTCAACTGTGTCTAAGAGGGGCCAACATAGAGTTCAGGCTGTTGCTTCAGAGAAGACAAACCCCAAGCCTTGGTGGCTTACACATAATACTTGGCCTGCAGGTGCACAGAAGTCAAGAACTGAGGTTTGGTAAGCTCCACCTAGATTTTACAGGTTGTATGGAAATGCCTGGATGTCCAGGCAGAAGTATGCTCTGGGGCAGAGCCCTCATGGAGTTCTGCTAGGGCAGTGCAAAAGTGAAATGTGTGGTTAGAGCTCCATACAGAATCCCCACTGGGGCACTGCCTAATGGAGCTGTGAGAACAGGGCCACCATCCTCCAGATCCCAGAATAGTAGATGCACCAACAGCTTACACTGTGTGCCTGAAAATTCTGCAACACTCAACACCAGCCTGTGGATGCAGCAGAGTCCAGCCTGTGGACTCTACCCTGCAAAGCCCCAGGGGTGGAGCGCCCAAGTCCATGGGAGCCCACCTTTTGCTCCTATGCTGAAAAAAAGGTGATCAGCCTGACGTGGATGTGAGACATGGAGTAAAAGGAGATCATTTTGGAGCTTTAAGGTTTAATGACTGCCCTACTGGATTTCAGACTTGCATGGAGCCTATAACCCCTTTGTTTTGACCAATTTCTCCCATTTTGATTGTGTATATTTACCCAATGCCTGTACTCACGTAGTATCTAGGAAGTAACTAACTTGCTTCTAATGTTACAGGCTCATGGGTGGAAGTCACTTGTCTCAGATGAGACTTTGGCCTTGGACTTTTGAGTTAATGCTGGAATGAGTCAAGACTTTGAGGGACTGTTGGAGTGGTGTGATTGTGGTTTGAAATATGAGGACATGAGGTTTGGGAGGGGCCAGAGGCGGAATGATATGGGTTTGGCTGTGTCCCCACTCAAATCTCATCTTGAATTTTAGTTCCCATAAACCCCACGTGTTGTGGGAGGGACCAAGTGGGAGGTAATTGAGTCATGGAGGCAGTTACCCTCATGCTGTTCTTGTGATAGTGAGCAAATTCTCATGAGATCTGATGGTTTAATAAAGGCCTTTTCCCCCTGTGCTCGGCACTTCTTTTTCCTGGCACCATGTGAAGAAGGACATGTTTGTTTCACCTTCTACCATGATTGTAACTTTTCTGAGGCTTCCTCAGTCCTGTGGAACTGTGAGTCAATTAAGCCTCTTTTCTTTATAAATTATCCAGTCTCGGGTATTTTTTTCATAGCTGTGTGGAAACAAACTAATATAATTTGCCAGCAGAAAACACCAATACTGAGCCCTTGATATGGCACCTTTCCTCAGGGTGGTCAGCCACCTACTTAGTGGCAGGTTGATTATTTTGGATCTCTTCTATCATGGAAAGGGCAGTGGTTTGTCCTCACTGGAATAGATACTTACTCTGCATATGCCTTTGCCTATCCTTGGCAGTGCTTCTGCCAAGACTACCATCCATGGACTCACAGAATGTCTGATTCAGTGTCATGGTATTCCACACAACGTTGTCTCCAATGAAGGCACTCACTTTATGGCTAAAGAAGTGTGGCAGTGGGTTCACACTCATGGAATTCACTGGTGTTACCATGTTCCCTACCATCCTGTAGCAGCTGGATTGATAGAACAGTGGAATGGCCTTTTGAAGTCACAATTACAATGCCAGCTAGGTGATAATACTTTGTAGCGCTGTGGCAAAGTTCTCCAGAAGGCTGTGTATGCTCTGAATCAGCATCCAATATATGGTACTCTTGCTCCTATAGCCAGGATTTATGGGTCCAGGATTCAAAGGGTGGAAGTGGAAGTGGCACCACACAACATAACCTCTAGTGATCCACTAGCAAAAGTCTTTCTCCTGTTCCTGTGACATTACATTCTGCTGGCCTAGAGGTCTTCATTCCAGAGGAAAGAATGTTGCCACCAGGAGACACTACAATGATTTCATTAACCTGGAGTTTAAAATTACCACCTGGTTACTTTGTGCTCCTCCTACCTTTAAGTCAACAGGCTAAGGATGGAGTTACAGTGTTGGCTGGGGTGACTGACCCAGACTATAATGATGAAATCAGTCTACTACTCCACAATGGAGGTAAGGAAGAGTATACATGCAATACAGGAGATCATTAGGGAGTCTTTTAGCATTACCATGCCCTGTAGATTCAGGTCATTGGGAAACTACAATAGCCCAATCCAGGCAGGACTACAAATGGCCCAGACCTTTCAGGAATTAATGTTTGGGCCACTCCACCAGATAAAAAACCACCACCTGCTGAGGTGCTTGCTGAAGGAAAGGGAATACAGAATGGATAGTAGAAGAAGGTAGTTATCAATACCAGCTACGACCATGTGACCAGTTACAAAAACAAGGACTGTAATTGTCATGAGTATTTTCTCCTCATTTTGTTAAGAACATGTTTGTGCTTTATACACTTATACTAAGAAAATGTTTATTTTTTTCCTTTATTTTTCCTTTATCATGGGACATAAGATTTATTGACTTCATATCAGCATTTCAGTGTTGTTAACTTTATGTAATAGATTTTAGGTGAAGGCTTAGTGCAATTTCAGCTGTATGAAGGATAGCTATATTATATTAGGTGTAATTATGACCTCATTGTTGTCTTTATTTGAAGATTATGTATGATATGATAAGTTTTGTATGGGTTCAATTTGACAAGCAGTGGACTTGTGATGGTTTATATTGATTGTCAGCTTGATTGAATTGAAGCATGCAAAGTATTGTTACTATTGTTACCGGGTGTGTCTGTGAGGGTGTTGCAAAAGGAGATTAACATTTGAGTCATTGGACTGGGAGAGGCAGACCCATCCTCATTTTGGGTCTAATCAGCTGCCAGCACGGCTAGAATAACGCAGGCAGAAGAAAGTAGAATGAGCAGACTTGCTGAGTCTTCTGGACCTCATCTTTCTCCCATGCTGAATGCTTCTTACCCTCGAACATTGGACTCCAAGTTCTTCAGCTTTTGGATTCTTGGACTCACCCCAGTGGTTTTCTAGGGGCTCTCTGGCCTTTTGCCACACACTGAAGTCTGCAGTGTCAGCTTCCCTGCTCCTGAGGGTTTGGGACACCGATTGGCTTTTTTGCTCCTCAGCTTGCAGACAGCCTCTTATGGGACTTCACTTTGTGATCGTGTGAGTCAATCCTCCTGATAAACTCCCCTTCATATATACATATGTCTTATTAGTTCTGTCCTTTTAGAGAACCCTAACTAATATGGCATATAAACTTATCCTCTGTGAGGCCTGGATGTGAGAAGAATCCTTTGAGGGGAAAGTATGGCAGGAGGTGGGGACTTGTTCTAAGTCTAAAGAGAATGAAAGAAGACAGATGGTGAAACTTGCAAGATGATGGTAGGCAACAGGCTCAGTCATCTGACTCTTTACCAAGAAAGGCCAAATATTCAGTAAAGTTAAACTCAGGAAGTGCTGAGTGTGAGTTGTTGCTTTGTGGAAACTGATGAAGAAGTGGCATTTGCATTGGGATTGCTATCTCGAAACTGAATATGGAAGCAGAAAATGCACAATGAAGGAAGTCATGGAACTCATAAATCATTTGAAGAACTCTGAGCTCTCATAAGCATTAGGTATGGAATTACAGTGAGTTAGTTTATATGCACATATGCATTTATACATACATATGCATTCTTGATATTCATATGTCACTTCTTTCTATGGAAATTGCAATATTTGTAGGAAAAACTACATATGCTATTTTATGTCATGCTTCTTTTTACTTAACCACAAAATGTTCTAGAACAAAGAATTATAATTTACTATATATTCATTTTTATGGAAATAGATAAAACATTTAGTGAACATTTGGGACTAAGATTGCAATAAAACTATACCTAAGGATGGATTTAGGGAATATGAGCACAAAACTAATTCCCTCTTAGAATTCATAACTACTATGTTGAGCATCAAAGGGGTTTGCAGTTGGAATTTAAACTAAATGATATGCTCCAGAAATATCCTAACAACAAATTCAGACCTTTCCTCCACTCCCAGCCAAACTGATTACAGAGCAATAAAACTCAGAACACTGTGGAACGTAGGCCGGTTCTACAGGGACATGTCCTCAGCCCAGGCCTCTCAGTACTTCCACTTGAAAAAGCACTCTGAATCAGAGCTCACAGTTCAGAGTATTGAGTGTGATGGGCAAGAAGTAGTAGACACATGAATTAAAAGAACTAGAATGCCCAAGCTCCAGTTAATGACCATATTAACATACTGCCTATATACGACCAAGTATTTAAGCTTAAAAGCTTAAGGCAAAAGCACTCATGGAATTGGGAGAGTCCATAGATCATCAACAAAAGAGAAACTCTATAAGAAAGTATAACAATTATGATCTGATTTTTACCATACATACTAACTTAAATTATGTAAAGTAAAAAAATTTAAAACTCTATAAAGATGAAGATTAAAAAATAGTAATTGGCAAACTGAAATCAAAATAGAATGTTTTGGCAGACTTTAGTCAGTATTGGATATACAAAGAGCTCTCCTACAAAAAAAAAATAATAATTTGAAAAGAAGTTGTATTTTGTTACACTAATTTGAACACTGAACCATATTCTTTTCCTGCACACATAAACCTTTTATAAAATAGAATAAATATTATGTCCAAAGTAAACATCAGCCATATCATCATGAAAAAGTCATCATTTTATGAATGTAAGGCTTAATTAATGAATACTAAATTTCATTTTAATTAAAAATGTCATGGTAGACAATTTCAATATAAAATGAATGGAAATAGTTTTATATGTATTTCTTTATCAATATGTATTTTTTACTGCAAAATATATGCCAAATAATACTGGAAAGCTTAAAAATGATTTAATGAAATTCATTCAGAAGTTAGAATCAATATTTTTAATTAAATATTTCTTTTTAGAATCTTATATTCATGTGATTTGAATGATGACATCCATCATGTCTCATCTCCTTTACTTCTACCTTCCAGGTTTTCGTGTTATTATTACTTGTACATTGCTTGGGTTCATAGTATTAAAATTATTGTCTATAACTGCTGTCATTTAAAACATGCTTTTACTCTTTGTCAGTAATGTGATTGTCACTAGTGTCTATTCTGCTTCATTTTTATAATCTATTCATAGATTTATATTATGTAAGTTTGATGGTCTGCTTGTTTCACACAGTTCTGCAGTCTACTTTTTAAATTCATTCTTTTGATATATCACCTTATCTATAGTTCTTATGTAATTGATTTTTTAATATTATTAAATTATTCTGTAGCTTGAAACATTTGGGAAGAATATTCTCTCTTCCCTGAGTTATTTATCTTTTGAGGAAACATATTACCCCTTTTTACATACAATGTTTCCTTTACCCCCATCCTGCTCTTTGATATTTTCAAACTTGCATTATTATTTCTTATCTTGTTCACACAGAAGCAGCTCTGTTTGCAGGTTTTATTCACTCTGAAATTAATGCTGATTTAGTCTATTATCATTTAAATTTTTTTTTTATCATATGTTATTTTTTAGAGACAGAGTCTTTGTCACTCAGGCTGGAGTGCAGTGGTAGCTCATAACCTCAAATTCCTGGGCTCAAGGGATCTGGCTGCCTCACCTCCCTGAGTGGCTAGGAGTACAGGCATGTGTCACCAGGCCTGGCTATTTCGTTTAACTTTTTGTGCAGATGAGGTCTCACTATGTTGCCCACACCTAGTCTATTATTATTTATCCCAAACCATTTGCTCACTTCCTTTGCAATATAGCATAAGGCCAAGATATTTTGTCTTTTTTTTTTTTTTCACTTTTCTGTAACTTCAAAAAGTAGCAAGGAGTAGGAGTAACTCATCTTGCAGAGGAGCTGTCATTGGAAACCTGGGCTGCATTCTTTCCTTAAATTTATTACATGCTCAACATCAAGGTTCTCTCAACCCATAAATCTATAGGGTTTACACCATCATAATGTGGCAATACATCAAGGCTTTCCTCAATTCACTATGGTTAGATGCTGCTGCTGACGCGACCCAAACTGCAGAGGTAAACATGGGACCTAACTCTAAGTTAATTAGTACTTTCACTACTGTGAGTTTGGTTCAGAATCATTATGTTACACATTTGGACCAAATGCCAGTCAAGCTCAAAGAGTTTTTCCCCCATATATTGAGAGAAAGACATTTCCACCTTTTTAATTAATTTGGAGTGGCAAAGATGTAATCTAAAGCTGCTCACAGTCATCCACAGAGGAGAGCAGGGAAAATAGATGGAGAAATCTTTTTTGTGATATTGCTTGGGTTGTCCATGAACTTATAATTTTAGGTGTCAACATGTATTCTTTTTTGGCTATGTTAATTTGAATTAAATTTCAGTTAATTTTCCTAAAAACAGTACTAACCGATACAATTAGATTTTTTTTTTCCTGGATAACATACCCAGAGAGAAGACATTGGCATTATTTAAACCACAGAAAGACAATAGCAATCATTGTAAACATGGGTGCAGCATGAAAAGTTGATAGAAGAGTAGAAAGAATGGATGTGAAGACACGTTAGATGGTTACTATTTGAATCCAGGTAACATAGCAAGGTAATAACTTGAAGAAGCAGTTGTCAGCGAAGGTAGAGGAAATCTGTAGGAATTTAAAGATTTTTAAGTATTAAGGTAGCAAGTCTTTCTTTTTTTTTCTTCTTTTCTTTTTTTTTTTTTTGAGACAGGGTCTCACACTGTCGTCCAGGCTGGAGTGCAGTGGTGTGATCTTGGTTCCCTACAACCTCTGCCTCCCAGGTTCAAGTGATTTTCCTCTCTCAACCTCCTGAATAGCTGGGATTACAGGTGTTCGCCACCATGCCCAGTTAATTTTTTTTATTTTTAGTAGAGAGGGGGTTTCACTATCTTGGCCAGGCTGGTCTCAAACTCCTAACCTCAGGTGCTCCTCCCACCTCAGCCTCTGGGAGGCTGCACTCTGGAGTGCAGGGATTACAGGCGTGAGCCATGGTGCCCGGCCAAGGTACTAAGATCAGATGGTGGATTGAATGTAAGTAAGGGAGAAGAAGGTTAAAAATAATTCCAAATTTCTCTCTTTAGCAATTACGTAGATTGTACTGCCATTTACTAAAATGAGAAATGATGAGGAAATACTAGTTTTGAGAATTGTGTTCTGTGGTCTTCATAGATTTAATTTTTATATGAAACATAATCTGCCAACTTGATTTTAATGTCACTTCTACCTGTTCTGTTTATTGACCTAATGAACAAGCTTTGTTTCTATTCTATAACTATTAAATTTTCTATTTCCTTGTTGTCTTTGCTTTTTAAAAAATCATGCCTTATCTTCTCTTTATTTTTATTTCCCAAGGTTAACTATAATACCCTTGGGAGGAGAACCAAAAATGGTTGTCGAGAAGTGTGATGTGGGTATACAGGGAATGGTCATGGATAGGAGGAGCAGAGGGTTCCTCAAAATTGAGGACTGTAGAGATAGCTCAGCAAGACATTGATGTTATTTTGAATAAAAATTGTGCATTATAAACCCCCACCATTCCTGTTCAGCCAGGAGCCAACCAAAGCCCTAACACTTATGTATCTGTGAATACTGAGATTTTCCTGTAGACACAATGACTTTCTCTTGTGCCTGGTGACAGTTTGATCTTCAGTTGCATTTTGAAAACTTTAATTTGTGGTAATAAAACAAAAATGGCATAAAAAAGTATACTACTGAAATCAGAAATAAAAATTATGTCTTTAAAATTTATCTTAATTTATTGAAGAAAAATATTCAACCAGAAAGTAAAGCATATCTCTTTATCCTTAACATAATATGTATATCTTTTTGGGTCATCAAATTTATTAATTAAAACATAGAATACCAAATTATCCTTTTCCTAATAGTTTTTGGATATCTATCTGTTGTGTTCCCTAAATGCCCATTATAAAGAACAAAAGAGGAGAAAGTAAGATTCGGTCACATATAGTGTCTGCTATGTAAGTTATTTATGCTATT